>NC_000016.10:63653409-63956439 GCF_000001405.40 Homo sapiens | reverse complement strand
TTAAAAAATGTTTGAAGCTTTTTTGATGAGGAGGTAAATAGCTGAATGATCACAACCTCTCCCTACCCTCCTTCCACCTCTCTGTCTTTCCTCTGCCAGCCAAAAGACTCTAGAAACTCTTATATGTTTAACTCAGTGCATATGTATACAAGTGGAAATGGGTCAAACAGCCAGTGACAGACAAAATTTAAGAAACAAGTTGATATGCATTTTCAGGGAGAGAAGAGAAAAGAATACATTTAGGAAATGAGGAATAGGGTAATGGAAATCAAGTGCCAACACACACTAGGCTTTTAGAGAGGTGTGTGAAAATTTGGCCAAGGCAGGTAGAGATGGAAATGTGAATGGTGGTGCTAAAAAGATTAAGGACAACTTTGTCCATGAATTGGACTTGCAGAGAGGGAGAAGATTTTTGAAACCATTGATTTTTCCCCATAAAGGGAATTACCTATTTTTTTTTCCTAAGAGATTACTTTGAATATTCAAATTCATTTTTAGCTCCTCTAAGATTGTCAGAAATGATGCATCAACTTGAGTTTATGAAGTTGCAAGCCAATCTTTACCTAATATTTACCTGGCTTATCATCTTTGGCCACTAGAGTCTTGAATGATATAGTCAGCTGGGATACATTAAATCTAGACATAACTTTTTAAATCTTTTTGTATCTATGCTCCTAAGAAGCGTCCAAGAGGTTGTTTCTTCATTAATAGACATTATGTAGATAGAAAGGAGGAAGTATTAAGCTAAATAAATAAGGTTAAACAACTCCCAACAACTTTGCATGATGCAAGAGTTCTCAGTACTTTTCATATATCCTTGGACATTGCAAATCTCTAAAAAGCTAATAAAATATGCATCATTTCTCAAAGATAATTATCAATTATTTCAGCACTGTGTGTGTTCATGCACATGTACATGTGTGACACATGGCATTAACATTATATGAAATATACTTGGGATTGTCTAAATCAGCAAGCACTATTTTTTTTTTTTGAGAAAGACTGAAGTCATATCCCAGACACTAACTATAATTGATTAAATATAAGCTTGAACAGTTTACATATGTGTGCATGAACATATACACACACATACACACAGGAACAATGCAAATACTGTATCTAATACCATTCTAGTATCAGTTTTCAACATCTAATAAAATAACTTTGTGAACTTCTTAGCATGCACCGCTAATTGAAATATTTCTCCCGTGGTCTGGATTACTTTCTTCAGTCCTTGCAATCAACACTATGTTTCAATTTCTTGATGTGTTCCAAAGCCAATTTTGGAGGAACTGAACTTTGCTTAAATGTTTCTCTTCTTTTTTTTTTTCACCTGAATCTGTTTTTATCTCCAAATATGGAATACTCTTAGTCTATCCTACCATTTCAAACTTTCAGACTTAAAAAGCAAGGGTTGTGTCTATTGTTTCATTAATTTTGTTTGCTTTTGTTTCAATTTACAATAGTCTTTGCAATGGTATTCCATCCAGTAAAAAGTGGAATATTTCTACTTTTTTCCATCTAGAAACATCTCCTCTTTTCTGTTCTGTAAAACATAGGCTGCTGCTTTCATCTGAATGCTATAGGTTATAGTTAGTTTAACCCTAATTCAGATCAATTTAAAGGGTGGCATAGTTTTCCAGATTTTGCCTGGAATAATAGTAGTCTCCTGGCAAGAGAGCAACCTGATAGCAGGTCCTACACTGGGCACTCACAGACTGCCCATCAGTAAGCATCATCTCTTTCCAGCTAATTCAGGCATTTCTTAAAACACACTTATGGGGTGAATCATTAAATATCTTCAATTAAGTCAGACAATTATCAAATTTGGAGAATTTACATTTAATAGTTTCTAAAGTGGTGGTGGATGGAGAAGCAGGGGTTATGATTGCAAAGCCTACGTAAAATAAAGCATTAGTTTTAAGTACATTTAGGTACTTAAAACAAAATTGTGGAGCAAATTAAAAGTTATCATAATTCAGGCACCAGAGATAGGTTAAAGTTTGAAATCCAAAGAAACTAATCTCTTTTTCTCCCCCTCTCTTCTTCTCTCTCTCCCTTCCTTTCATTTTCTCTGTCTCCAAAGCCATAGAAATTCTTATGCAGAAATCGTTATTTTATGATGGTTTACTGTTAATTTACTCTTATTATAGAGAAAATTTGGTTATCAGATGTTTGAATTCAACAGGAAATCCACAGATACACTTTTGAACAGAGTTAAATAAGAACTCAAAAGGCCTATTCTAAAAGAAGACATTATCTTCAGCACAGAACTTCTGAATGAAGGAATGTATGAATAAATGAATCACTTGGAGGAAAGTTTATATAAGGACACAGTTCAGGAAAATATCAAGAAGCCTAAATATGGAATCAATTAAAAATAGAAGATTAAAGAAATTTAAGGAGTATACAATCTAAAAAGGAAAAGCTTGAGTAGTTTAAGGAGTTTAAGAATCACTGATTCTTCATTGAGAAAATAACTTTAATTTGTGTGTGAAAACTGCACCTCTGAAGTGGCCAAGTAAGCTCCTACCAAACCAACATTCCTATGTTTAGACTATGAACTCTGAATGAAAATAGAAAAAACAACTCAAACTACTGGAGAGCTAAACATTACTGACACATTGTGGAGTGCAGTGAACACCTAAAACAGGAAATAATTGGAGGGCGTTTCCTCTTTTAAATGAGATTTAGCCTGGGCACAGGTCAAAATCAGTGCCTCATGGAGGGGCTAAAATAGAACACCAAGTATCTTTCCGTTCTGAACAACAACAACAACAACAAAACAGAGAACAGAGTTCTGGGTAACCATAACTACTGAACTACTGACAGTGAGGGAAGGGAATCCCAGGAAAGAGCAAGTCAGAGGCAAGGAACAAATTCTGATCTCTGAAACCTGCATTTGTGAGGTAGATTCCAAGCAGCACAGCTAAGGATGAAGAAACTGACCTAATATTAAAATGACGTCCAAAAGGGTTTGCAGTTCCAATCCAACCAAATTAATTGCCTATTAATATAAATAAGCAGAACAAAACACACAACATTGTTGGGGGGATTATAACATTGTTGGGGGGATTATAATTATCCAAAGTTTCTTTAACACAACATTCATAAATACAACCCTACACTGATCAATTTTTGTTCAAGTGATTTTTATGCAAAAATTACCTCAAAAGTAATCAAGAATTTAAATGTGTGAGCTAAAAGTATATGATATTTGATATGGTTTGGCTATGTCCCCACCCAAATCTCAACTTGAATTCTGTTTCCCAATATTCTCACGTGTTGTGGGAGGGACCTAGGGGGAGGTAATTGAATTTTGGGGGCTGGTCTTTCCCGTGCCATTCTCGTGATAGTGAATAAGTCTCACGAGATCTGATGGGTTTATCAGGCATTTCTGTTTTGCTTCTCTCTCATTTTTTCTCTTGCTGTCACCATGTAAGAAATGTCTTTTGCCTCCCGCCATGATTCTGAGGCTTTCCCAACCATGTGGAACTATAAGTTCAGTTAAATCTGTTTTTCTTCCCAGTCTCAGGTATGTCTTTATCAGCAGCATGAAAATGGACTAATACAATTATTTAAATATATTTAAAAAGTTGGAAAAAAACACCTGTTCATGAAGAAATAAGCAAAACCCTGAGCAAATATAAGATTGAAATGAACTTTCTTGATTTGATACAAGGACATCCACAATAATCTGCAGGTGACTGAAGTTACTTAATAGTGAAATATGCAATGCTTTTCTGGCCAAATTCAAAAAGTAATGCATGCTTACTACCCCACTTCTATTCAGAATTGTATAAGTTGGTCTTAATTATTGAAAAATAAGAGAATAAATTTAATGTCATAAAGATGTGAAAAGAAAAAGTAATATCTCCATTTGCAACTGACATGATTACTCATGTAGAACATGTTAAGAAATTCACAAAATCTTAAAACTCACAATGAAATGTATCACAGTCCTAAATTACAAGTTAATGTATATAATTATTATATTTTTGTATTCTGGCAGGAGTTAGAAAATAAGATAAAAAGTAAACATTTCAACCTAAAGTATCACAAATAATTTGGAAATAAATTTAACAAATATATGAATCTCTTTAGACTCAAAAAACAAAATGATAAGTGAAAATGAATACCAAAGTGAATAAAGAGATATACCATAGTCATGGATTAAAAAACTCAATATTGTCAATATGTCAATTCTTCCATAACGCCAGCAGCCCTTTTCTATAAGTCAATTTAAAAGCTTATTTTAAAATGTATTTGCAGGCACTAAGGGCATAAAATTAAAAAAAAAAATTAGGAGGAGCAAAGTTAGATAAATTATATAATTTCAAGATTTAATATGAAGAAAATGTAATTTCAGAACCACAATATTAGCATAACAATAAATAATTCAGATGTAATAAAAATACATCCCCCAAAGAGTCACTTTATATTACTATTTACATTTTCACCAAGAGCACCAAAGTAATTCAATGGGTAAAGATAGAGCCTTTCAACAAATCATGCTGGATGAAATAGATGTTCACAGGAAAAAATAGCCTCAATCTCATAATACATAAACTTAATTTAAAACAGAAGATAGACCTCAGCATAACAATTGTAATAATAAAGATTTTGAATAAAACATAGGCCAATGTATCCATGTATTTTGGGTACTCAAAAGTTCTTTGAAAGGACACGGAAAGTAATCACCAAAAAAGAAAAAAATAATAAATCAAGTGTCATCATAAAATAAACTTCTGTTCATTGAAAGATAACATTAAGAACATAGATAAGTCACAGGTTATGAGAAATATTCACAATCTATATTTTTGGAGACACAGACAAAGGACTGGTATTCAATCTAAAGAAAGAACTACAATTCAATAATAAAGACAATTGAATAATAAATGAGCAGAGATTTGAACAGATACTTCAAAAACAGTTATGCAAATGGCCAATAAGCATGTTTTAAAAAGCATAATAGCATTTGTTATCAGGTAAATACAAATTAAAATCATAATGAGATAGCACTATTTAGCCACTTAAATGGGTAAAATTAAAAAGCCTGGGTGTTACTCAAAGTCGGCAGGAATATAGTATGACTACAACTCTCATAAATTGTTGGTGGAATATACAATGATGCAACCACTTTGCAAGACTGGAAATTTCTTTTCAATATTAAGCACACATTTCTCTATGTAAGAGACATTCTTCTAGATATTCACCCAAGAGAAGGCAAAAAAAAAAACCCGACATTGGCTTACAAAAAGAATTATAAAAAGGTGTATAATGCTCTATGCATATTAGCCTTAAATGAAAAGTTGCCCAAGTAGTCATCAATAAAAAAATTGACTAAAAAAACACATTATATTCATACAAAAAAAACCATCAGCAATACAAGGGAGTATATTACTGATACACACAATGATATGGATGAATCTCAAAATATTGTGGTAACTGAACGGTGACTTACACATTAAGCACATAAAGTATGATTGTATTTATATAAAATTCTATATCAAACAGAAACAAATCTATGTTGGAAAAATTCAGAAAGGTGGCTGTTGCTGAATCTTTAGGGCATGTGTTAAGATAATTTTCTTGAGTAATATTCTATAATTTGATGTCCACGTATGCATTTGTCAAAACTAAGTAAACATTCACTTAAGTTTTTAGTTTCATAAATTTATCTAAAAAGTAAAAATACTGTAAATAAATATCTTACACTGGGTAACGATGTGAATCCTAAAGTATTTAGTGTACTAATGTAACAATTTACACTGAAATATGTCCAAAAAAATCAAAACAGATGGATTCATGGATAGATAAAGCAATTCATAAATTGATAAATATGGTGTTAATAAAAGTTATAGTAAAATTGTAATTGTAGAATCTGGTGGATATATATGTATTCACTATAAATTTATTTCAACTTTTTTATGTATTTGAAAATGTATAATACGTAAAAAATTGTGTGTATTTTAATGATATATTTTGGTTTTAAAAGACATGTCAGCAGGAATAATTTATTATACATCATGCATTCACAATTTTAAAACGTCTATCTTTTAGGGGAAAAGTAAAAAATTTGCATTAATTTCTACTATCAGTTGCTACAGAAAACCAACTTTGTGAGAGTCTATACATAAACCCAGGACACTATTCTCAACCTTCAGTTTGGGAGGAAGCAACAAACTCTGGTTTTCAAGTCATGAAACAAAATACATCAAGTATCCTAAATATCAAGTGTGAATCTTGCTTTGCCTGACGCCATTTGAATAAAACTTCTCTAACAAACAAAATAGCATCAGAAAAGTACAGAATTTTATAAACAGAAATAACAGTAGAAATAGAAATGTATACCATTAAAATTAGATTCTCTTGTTGACTTGTGTTAAGGTTTAGGGTAGGGACCCTCCATCTGGGCCCCTAACTCCTTCCCCACTGTGGCTTCTAATAAAATCACAATAATTATCGAGGGTTCTCTACATCACACATAGAAATTACAGATCCAGTTTTATTCCCTTGTATTTTAAACAGAACACCAAGACTCAGAGAAGTAAAGTGACTCACCAAGTTCACAAAATGTAGTTCTCTAATTGCCAGTTGAATTTCGATTAAAATAATAATTCAGACTAATATGGTAACAGAACAGTTGCTTGTGTGATTCAGTTTTCACTTTCTTGCAATTATTGGTAGACTAGAAAACATACAGTAGCTTTTCTTCTTCCATTTCCTGAATAACTTAATAATTTTGCATAAGTTTAGAATAGATTAAATGAAGAAGAAAAGGTACTCTTTCCTTGTGTTGTACCTGTGAAACAGTTTCAGTGAATTTGCTTAAATGATGCCAATTCCCCAGTGTTGCTTTTAATAATAATATTTTCTTTTTTTTTTTTTTTGAGATGGAGTCCTGCTCTATCACACAATCACAAAGGCTGGAGTGCAGAGGCACAATCTCGGCTTACTGCAACCTCTTCCTCCTAGGTTCAAATGATTCCCTTGCCTCAGCCTTCAGAGTAGCTGGGATTACAGGCGCTTGCCATCATGCCCAGCTAATTTTTGTATTTTTAGTAGAGACAGATTTCACCATGTTGGCCGGGCTGGTCTCGAGCTCCTGACCTCAAGTAATCTGGCCACCTCAGCCTCCCAAAGTGCTGGGATTACAGGCGTGAGCCACCACACCTGGCCTAATAATATTTTCAAATACCTTACTTCTTCATGCCGAATTCAGTCCTCATATATATTATTCACACAAAAGTTGTTACTGTAAAAAGAAAATGGTCTCAAATATCTAACGCTCAGCTCAGCTCAGCTCTCATTTCCTCAAACTGAATAACTGCTAACATATTTAAGGGCTACCTTTTCTTCATCTATTTGCTTTTTAACCATTATCAGCCACTTAATATGATAGGACAAGAGTACCACCATCTTCACAACACCCCACCATCTTAAGCTTTAAATTTCTGTTTGGCCACCTGGCCAAAACGGCAAATGTCAGCCCTTCCCACAGCTTCAACAGAGCATAAGGGCGCTAATCCTCACAGAATCCTCACAGAACAGCCAGCACTTTGCCAACCCCTCCCTAACAGAATCTTGCTTCGAAGCACACTTCTCCATTGGGCCCTTTAAAAAACCCTTGGGCTGTAAGAGAAGCTTGCTCCTGACCTTGCTGGCCAGAAGCCCTTCTCAGGTTTACTTGCAATTAACCTGTCTCAACTGGAGAGCCGCCTTCTCGCTTCTTCTTCCCTTAGTCTTTCTATCTCAATATGCATAAAGACTTGCAATTTCAGCTATCAAATGGGAATATAAGAACATAAGGGTTAATTTGAAAACCTCGAGAACACACTATACAGATACCAACACATTTCTACCTAAGCAACCGAGCTATCTGCCTTTATCTTTCTGTTAGGGAAAATGTTGGCAATTATATATGATGGAACAGCTTTTTGGTATTTCTACTCTTCTATTGTAATTATTGAAGTTTCACCTTTGAAATCTGAAGGGAATGGACATAATTTCAAGCTTAGAAAAACACAGAACCTCACTTTGGCATATATTCACCCTATTTTAAGAAATTTCCCAATAGATTAAAAAATAGAACGAGTGTTTGTTTGTTTGTTTGTTTGTTTGAGATGGAGTCTCACTCTGTCACTAGGCTAGAGTTCAGTGATGAGATCTCAGCTCACATCAATCTCCAACTCCCTGATTCAAGTGATTCTCCTGCCTCAGCCTCCGGAGTAGCTGGGATTATAGGCACGTGCCACCACGCCCAGCTAATTTTTGTATTTTTTAGTAGAGACGGAGTTTCACCATGTTTGCCAGGATGGTCTTGATCTCCTGACCTTGTGATCCTCCTACCTTGGCCTCCCAAAGTGCTGGGATTACAGGCGTGAGCCACTGCACCTGGCCATGAGTGTTCTAATGGACATGTTTCTATACACGTATTCTGAAACTTTAGCTTCTATCTAAAACACCCAGAGGGTTTGATAAATCACAAATTCCTGGGCCCCAACCTTAGAACTTATTCAATAGTGCTGAGTAAGAATTTAAGAGTAGGAATTTGCATTTCTACCAAGTCCCCCTGGGGAGGTCCCTGTGATCAATACACTTGAGAACTATTGCTTCACACTAATCGCTCTGTGAGATAGATTTAAGTCATTAGATTCTCTTAAAGATAATTCAAAAAGACTTAATGAAGTTCGAGGTTACAGAATTTTTTTTCTCTATTATCCTCCATGCTCAAGTTACATGAACAGAAAAAAAAATAGAGCAAAATGTGTACAATATATGAATTAAATGTATAGTCCATTTATAGAGATTCTATTTGATATTTGAATCTCAAAACATCTGATAACACTGAGATCTAATTATTTTCACTTTTTTTTTCTAATTTTTAAAGCATGATTTTAAACAATGTTGAATTTGGGTGTTTTTGGTTTTTATTTTATTTTCTTCCCTCCTTCCTTCCTATAAAATAATTAAATACTTTTTTTTGTTTATTTGTTTGTTTGTTTTTAAATATTCAGACCAAAGCTGAATCCCATTTGCAGGAGTGTGGCACAGGAATATAGCTTGTAGTTGCTGGAAGTTGGATATTATTACAATGTACATTCATATCCTCACTTGTGAGATTTAACACCTTCACAATGCCAATGGGAAAGCACTGAACAACTAAATCAGTTACATACATATGGAAACATGTCACAGTACTAGTTGCCCTGAAATGGAATGAACACCATAAATGGGGCTTCAAATTAGATGTTTTGAAAAGCGTAATCTTATATAAAACCTTCCATGTCATTTCACTTCACTTGTGACTTGGAAATAGGCGAGCACAGAAATGTGAGGAGGTGGGAAATGTAGAGATGAATTTCTCCCATCATCTTCCACCCCACACTGTGAGTCTATTTTAGTAAGTTTTCTTCCTTTGGAAATGTAAACGAAGAGCTGGTGAGGCTTGGCAAACAGTATAATTTTCATTTGTTTCTTTCTTGCTAAAAGTTCACAAGAATAAATATATAGTTTAAGTCTTTTTTTCTTTTTTGAGATGGAGTCTTGCTCTATTGCCCAAAGCTGGAGTGCAGTGGTATGATCTTGGCTCACTGCAATGTCGGCCTGCCGGGTTCAAGCAATTCTCCTGCCTCAGCCTCCCATGTAGCTGAGATTACAGGCACCTGCCACCACGCCTGGCTAATTTTTGTATATTTAGTAGAGGCAGGGTTTCACCATGTTGGCCGGGCTGGTCTCGAACTCCTGACCTCAGAGGATCCACCCGCCTCGGCCTCCCAAAGTGCTGGGATTACAGGCGTGAGCCACCGCGCTGGGCCACTTAAGTCTTTTTTTCAAAAGACCTGGGATAAAATATAAATAACTGTGCATGCATGTGTGTGTGCATGATGTACATGTATTATATATTATATGTGTGTATATATGTATATAAAATAATATCTTTGCAATAACAAACGTTTTCTTGTTGACCGTGAATATCAGTTTTCTCACATATAAAAAGGATGTGGGAGTGGATTAAATAATTTCTATCTCTTACATAAAATATTTTTATTATTTTTTAATACTTTCCTTAAGGCATGGCAAATGATGGTAAATAAGATATTGGGAACCCATTTGGTCAGTTTGTTGAAGACGGTACTGAACCCATCTGTACATATTTATTTCAGGTGTAAAGCAGTAGCCCCTCACATGTGTGGTTGTTATGCACCTTATTTCCATGATGGCTCTCTAGCAAATAAAGGCTTGTGATTTTTTTTTTCTTCCCCAGATGTGACTTACATATATATTTTTCCCCTATGTGTTTCTGGAAAAAAAAGTGTTATTCCTTCTGCACAATAATGTACAAGTGCCTGAAATAATGGAGAATGCTTCTCTATTCTGACACAGTATGCTCTCATCTTTTGGCAGAAATCCTACATTCTTGGTACTACTCAATTCATTTTAGCCACGGCTGTACTGCTTTTAATCTGACCATGTTTTTTTTTTACTGATGATCCACAACCTTAAAAAAATGTAGAAGAATTGGAACTAAAATACTTGACATATTATGTGAAAACTACTGATGAATGTGACTTTGGTATTTAGTTAAAATTCTAAATTTTAATATAGGTTCCTGATATTTATTAGGTTATATCTATAGCAGTATCAGATTCTTGCATGTTGTAGCATTATTTTACTTATTAATTTTTGCTCTTGAAAAATAGAGTCACTTTTTTCAGCCTCCAACTTTACAAATCCCTGATGAGATCAGTGCTTTCTAAAGCAGAAGGCAATTTTATTCACTCTAAATGAACAATTAGCATAAATTCATCTTTCTTGCATAGGATGAATTCTCCGTTTAGAGCACCATGGTTTATTTTAACATCTTCTGTACACTTCAATAGCTTGAAGAATTCTGCATGCTATTATCCCAAAATGATTTTTGGTTTTCAAATTGCTAAACTTAATAAGATGGGCTTTCTTCATCTCCTGTATTACCATATCATACCTAATGAAGTAAGATGCAACCAATCAAATTCTTGCATGGCTGACCTTTATTAACTGTAATTCAAAAACATGATTTCAGAACGCTCTATCTTATAATGCAAAAAAAAAAAAAAAAATTACGCAAGTAAGATTGCCTCTCATTGGCCAAAGAAATAAAAGGTCCTCTGGAGACCAGCCAAAATTAAGCTTCAAAATATGACAGAATGATAGAGAAACAATGTGTATCCTTCCATAAGATGACATTATTTGAGCTACTTTAATTATATGGCTTTATTGTGTTTTCTTTATTATCCTTGGGTAATGTCAATGTACGCTTGAAAATTGTGATAAAGTATTTATTATATTGACTCTATTCAGTCTTTTGCAAGGAAATACAGTTTCTTCTAAAGACATTCATTTCAAGACACAATACACGATGTCTCCGTTCTTTCATCAAGCATGTTTGAGTTGTATTAAGTATAAGTTACTATATAGGTGTATGGGGAATACATTCAAAGCTCTTTACCAGTCACCTTCTTTTTGTGAGGGACTAATATGAGCACTGGAGGTACAGAGAACCAGTCTGTACTCTCAAGAATATACAGTCCAGGATGAGAAATAAATTGCCATGTTGTGCTTTAAATGGTAAGACAGAATAAATCATTGTAAGCGGGGACATTCTCAGGTTGCACTGTACTTTCTTCTCTTGTTCTGGGCCACTGTGACACTGCTGTACACCCTATTCTTCTTCCCCACTTGCATTCTGAGTGAGTAGTTTTGTTTTGTTTTTGTTTTTGTGTTTTTGTTTTTTTTTTTAAGCCAAAGATTCCCTAACATTAGCTAGTTAAAAATCACAGACCTTTTTGGTTAGTTAGTTTTAGGGATTTTATTATAAATTGCTACACAGATAAAGATCAAACACAAAAATTTAAAATATGGAATATTGCTAATATTTTGTGACTTTTAAATTATTTATAGTCCTAAGTATTTATCCATGAATAGGAATACAAATCTGGCACGTATCCTATCCCAAAAGTAAATTTTTAGGAGAGGCAAAGTTTCAATATAAATAAGTAAGGTGTATCAGTTAGGAATCTAGCAAGAAATGGATGATACAGTCAGACTGAGTAATTGAAAAACAGTTTGTAAAAAGTTATTTATTTAAATAGGTGTGGCAGGGACTTCCCCTTATAAGAAGATAGACTAGACATACATTTCCTTATTCTTTTCTCTAAGGGAACTAATAACCTTGGGCATTGCACTTAAAACAAGCATAAGAAGCCTCGAAAAGGCAAAAAGAAGAAGGCTCACAAACTACACAACTTGGGACTCAAGGAACAGCACAGTGGGGAGTTCCTTTAGTTTTCTCTTTGCCTCATATATTCCCACACTTAGAGGAGAAGAAGCCAGCAAGTCCGAAATGCCATTCAGCACAGAAGAAAAAATACTATAATAAAAGCCTGCTCTTCTAGCCAAAGGACCAAGAAAAGAGTAGCTTAGCAAAACAATATTTACATAATACTGGTGTACTTTAGCCAAACACCAAAGGAAAAGCTGTGGCCCCACCCTCGTTCACACCAGAAAAGGCCCAGCGGAGAAACTAGATGTCCATCTCGTTAGGCTGTAATGAGGTTTCATAGCCCTACTACTGGAGTGGTGTCAGAAAAGCCATGTTGACAGCAGATACTTTCATCCCCATCTGATTGATGTTGAAACCGATACCCACACACCATGCGGGTATGTCAGAGGAAGCCTAGTGATGAATGGGTGTGGGTTTCCTAAATACCAGTTGGGAATGAAAGTCCTGGCTGCTTACATGCCTTTTCTGACACTATCCTCCGTAGCAGAGTTAGGTGCCTGTTTCAGCTTGGCATGGATAAAAGTCTAGGTTCCTGAGAACTTTCACTACTGCACAGTGCTAACAAGGCAATACTCTCCCACCTTACCATTGGTGTCAGTAGAGATTGTATGGGTAGGAGCAAATAAAGTACTTTTACCTTTTCCAGTCAAAAAGTATCAGTGGGAATCCAGGTTGCATACCCCAACCCATTAGTAATGAGGAACAGCCTCCACAGTGTCAATAGAGGCTGACTGGGAAACCTGGAATTCTACCCCACCTGATTCTAATGAGACAACAACCCTTTCTTTGCTAGAGCTCTGTCAGGAGAAGCCAGTTAAAACAAAGTTTAAATAAAGTCCAGAATCTCATAAGACCCCAAATATTCAGATTTCAATTAAAAGCCACGCTTCATACCAGGAATCAGAAGGCTCTTTCTTTGAGAAAGAAAGTCAATAGATGCCAATACCAAAGTAATAGAAATGTTAGAATTACCTAACAAAGATGTTAAAGTAACATACTTAAAAGCAAAATGCTTCAAAAAGCAAGTAGGAAAGTATCTGAAATTTTTTTTAAAAAGATAATTACAGCAAACAAATGAAAAGTTTTGGCAAATAAATAGAAATTATTAAAAAAAGGAAATTTTAAACTGATCAATATGGTAACCAAAACAAAATAGTGAATGGGTGCAGCATAAGAATGAGAGGGCAAAAGAAGGAATCAATAAACTGGAAGAACAAAGAAATTAAACAATCTCAGCAATAGACTAAAGACAACAAAAAAGACTAGAGTATTAAAGATCTGTGAGACAATAATATGTAACATTTGTGTCAGCAGAGTATTTAGAAAGAAGAAAGAAGAGAAGAGTCTTTAGATAGGAGAAAGAGCTGAAAAGTACTCCAAATTATAATATCTGATACCTTCCTAAATTTGGCAGAAGACATAAACCTATAGATTCAGAAAACTGAGCAAATCCCAATTATGATAAACTCAAGTTTACACCAAGGCACATCAGAATCAATCTCTGAAAATCAAAAGACAAAGAAAAAAATCTTGAGAGAGAGAGAAATAACACCTTATAGGGGAAAATAATTAAATGACAGAGAATTTATTACTAGAAATAATAAAGCCACAACAAGATAAAAGTGGCACAATAATTTTCAAGTGCTGAAAGAAGACTATAATCCAGAATCCCATATCCAGTACAAATATCCTTCAAGAATGAAGAGGGAAAACAAGGCATTTTCAAATGTAGAAAAACCAGGAGAATTTATTACCAGCAAGTCTATTCTGTAACAATGGATAAGGTCAGTTTTATAAATAGAAGAAAATGACTGTATTAGCCTGTTGTCACACTGCTAATAAAGACATACCTGAGACAGTAATTTATAAAGGAAAGAGTTTTAATTAACTCACATTTCCACATGACTGGGGAGGCCTCACAATCATGGCAGAAGGCAAATGAGGAGCAAAGTCAAGTCTTACATGGCGGCAGGCAAGAGCGCTTGTGCAGGGAACTCCCATTTATAAAACCATCAGACCTTGTGAGAGTGATTCACTACTATGAGAACATTGTGGGGGAAACCACTCCCGTATTCAATGATCTCCACTTGGCCCTACCCTTGACACATGGGGATTATTACAATTCAAGGTGAGATTTGGGTGGGCACACAGCCAAACTATATCAGTGACAAAAGGTGAATTCCGAATACCAGGAAAGAATTAAGATCTTGATAAGCAAAATATGGACAATGCAGCAATGCATTAGACTATTTTTCCTTAAAATTTCTAAATTATGTGTGATGATTGAACCAAATATTACAGCACTTTTGATGTGGTTTTAAAGGTATGCACAGAAAATACTTAAGACAATTATATTATAAGTGATGGATAATAAAGGCACATAAATGTAGTTGATTTTTCTGTGTCAAGTGTCAAGATACAAAATCAAGGTACAAAAATCAATAGCATTCCTATACACCAATGGTGTCCAAGCTCAGAGCCAAATCAAGAATGCAATCTTATTTTCAAAAGCTACAAAAAGAATAAAATACCTAGGAACACAGTTTACCAAGGAAGTGAAAGATGTCTACAATGAGAATTACAAGAAACTGTTGAAAGGAATCAGAGATGACACAAACAAATGGAAAAACATTCCATGCTCATGGATAGGAATCAGTATTGTTAAAATGGTCATACTGCCCAAAGCAATTTACAGATTCAATGCTATTCCTATGAAACTACTGTTGTCATTTTACACAGAATTAGAAAAAAACTATGCTAACATTCATATGGAACCAAAAGAGAGCCCAAATTGTCAAAGCAATCCTAAGCTTAAAGAATAAGGCTGGGGGCATCAAAACACTCAACTTCAAACTATACTACAATTAATACCAGGCTACAGTGACCAAAACAGCATGGTACTGTTATAAAAACAGAGACACAGACCAATATAACAGGATAGAGAACCCAGAAGTAAACCCATGTACCTACAATCACCTGATCTTCAACAGTCACAAACAATAGGATAAGAACTCCCTTTTCAATAAATGGTGCTGGAATAACTGGCTAACCATATGCAAAATATTGAAACTGGACCCCTTCCTTTCACTATATACAAAAATTAACTCAAGATGAATTGAAGAACTGCATATAAGACCTATAACAATAAAAACCCCAGAAGAAAACCTAGTAAATACTGTTCTAGACATTGGCTTTGGCAAAGAATTTATGACTAAGTCCCCAAAGGCAATTGCGACAAAAACAAAAATTGACAAGTGGGACCCAATTAACCTGGTGTCATGTTGGCAGTCAAAAAGTTTCAGATTCGGGAGCATTTCACATTTCAGATTTTCATTAGAGATGTTTAACCTGTACTAAATAATCTATGGCTCAAATAGGAAGTCTCAAAAAATGTTTTAAATACATGAAACAATAAAAATGAATGTGATATATCAAAATGTATGGAACTCAGATAAAGCAGTGATGAGAGGAAAATGTGTAGTACAAAATGTATACATTACAAATAAGAAAAGTTTTAAATAAACAATCTAAACTCCCACATCAAGAACCTAGAAGAAATAAACCAAAACAACCAGAAAGAATGAAATTAATAAAGAACAAAGACAATAAAATGGATGCAAAAATGATAGATAAAAATCAATGAAACAAACAGCTAGATCTTTAAAAGGTTATAAAATTGAAAAATTTCTAACAAGAGTGATTTAAAAAAGAGAAGACACAGATAATCAGGAATGAAACAGAACACATTATTACAGATTTTGCAGACATTAAAAGAAGGAAAATGCTATGAGTTGCATGACAAAGGTAAACTTGACAATTTGGATAAGATGGGCTAATTTCTCAAACAAAACAAGACAAACAAAAAATCATAAGCTACCACAATTCACTCAACATGAAACAAATATTCTGAACAGTCCCCTATTAAAGAGATGTAATTCATAATTTAAAAACTTGATAAAGAACATCTATTAAATAGTACAGCTAATATTATATTCAATGGTGAAATTCTTAATGCTTTCCCACTAAAATTAGAAACAATGTAAGGATGTTTGCTATTGCTGCTTTAATTCAGCCCAGAGCTAAAAGCTATAAACAGGCCAATAAGGCAAGAAATAAAAGATACAGAGATGAAATAAGGAAATAAATCTGTCTCTATCGCAGATCACACAGTTGTCTACATAGGTAGTTCCAAGAATTTAGAACGAATAAATGCACTCGGTAAGAGCCAATTTAAAAATAAAACTCCCTGAACTAATAAATGGGCTCAGCAAGGTCACAGGGTATAAGAAAATAAGCAAAAATCAATTGTATTCATATATACTAGTAATGAACATGGAAACACATATTAAAAAATATAGCACGATTCACATTGTTTCAAAAAATAGGTATAAATGTAACAAAACATGTTCAGGACTTGTATGCTTCAAACAATAAAGCATAAAACTTTGGCGAAAGAAGTTATAAGTAAAGGTCTAAATAAATTCAAAAGTGTACAATATTTATGGATTGTAAGTCAACATAATAGAGATGTCAATTCTTCCCAAACTGATGTGTAGATTTATACAAATTCTCTGAAAATACCAGCAAATTTGTTTGTTTATATAGGCAAGATTATTCTAAAATTATACAGAAGATCAAAGGAACTAGAATGGTTAAAAAAAGTGTGAAAAGGAATAAAAAGGGAGAAATTATTCTACCAAATTTCAGACTTATTATATAGCAGCAGTAATCAAGACCATTTGATTATCGTGGAGGAATAATAAATGTATGTATCAGTGGAAGCCAGAAATAGACACACACACAAGTGCCCACTTGATTGCAAAAGCAATAGAATGAAAAAATAGTCTTTGTAACCAATGGTGCTAGACACACACATACACATACACAATTGTCAACCTAACTCTCATACCTAATATATATATTAAATCAAAATAGATTATAGATTTAATGTAAAATATAAAACTGTAAAATTTTTAGAACAAAAAGAATTGTGGAAGCAACCCATATGCCTAGCAATAAGTGAATATTTAAACAAACTCTGGTTTATCCCACAGACTACTACTGGGTAATAAAAAGAAACAAGCTATTGATACATATAACAACATGGATGAATCTCCAGAGAATTATGATGAATACAAAAAGTCAATCCTGAAAGATTAGGTACCATAAGATTCCATTTATATGACATTCTTAAATCACAAAAATATACACATGGGAACATAGTATTGGTTGCCAGAGGTTAATGAAGGCATGAGGCAGGAAGGAAGTGGTTGCGGCTTTAAAAAGACAACATGAGGAATTCTTGTGGTGATGGAAATGTTCTTTAACTCGAATGTATCATTGCCAATAACCTGGTTATAATATTGTACTATACTTTAGAAAGATGTTATCGTTGGGTGAACCTGGATAACATCGCAAATCTTTGTACTATATCCTAAAACTGCATGTGTATTTACAATTATCTCAAAATAAAAATGTCTAATAGAAAATTAATTTATGATGAAAAAACAGAAAACAAAAAATAATAATATCCTAGTGATTAACCCAAAACTAGTGAGAACAGAGAGCTTGCCATGTGTCCACTCTATGCCCCTAGGCTCAAAACAAAGAAGGAATTATTCTAACCAAGAGAAATAACTGTATTAAAAAGTCTACACCATAATTAGTATGGCTCAATGAAAGAATATTTCAGGGAGGGAAATGGGAAAATACAGATTCCAGCTTCCCTTTGCTCCCATCCTGTGATATGTGGATAGAATATCCTAGCGGGTGCAACAAATTGAAATACAAAATCAAATGAGTCTATTGGATTAGACTTGGACAGAGAAGCAGGGGGTGTGTAAGCTCAAATAGACTTTGGAAAATCTTGATGCTTTCATTCCAGGAAAAATTTGTTCAGAGATATGCTTTTTGAAATTGTTGTCCACAGGTCTTGGATATACTCATAATATGTAGCTTTTAGTTGCACATAGCAAAACTCAATTCTTTACCTGAAAATGGGAAATATTCAGTTCAGTCTCCAACATTGTAACAGATATTAGATGAGAAAAACAAAATGTAAAACATTTAAAATATCACCTGGAGCAACAAAAATTACCTAATTTTTTTCTCTTATAACCTGTTTCCTTGAGTCTCTTCTCATCCTTTGTCTCTTGCTTACATATAAATTAAGGTAATGAAAATTAATCTATTTTATGCAACCTTCATGTTTATTTTTGCATAGTCTCCTCTAGACCTTGTTTTAAGACGTCTATGACTGTACATAGTGACAGGTATATTGTTTACAGAGACTGATGCCCATATAAGTAACAACAGATATTCTGAAGAGAAGAGAGATTGACTGCTCAGACAGACTCTTGGTGGGTAGCAACTCAACCATCATGGAGGTCAAGGCCTGGATTTAACTCTGCAGGGAAAACAAAATCCCGCCCTACTGGCTACCCACTGAAGTGAAACCTCATATAAATGTAACAAGGAGAGAGTGAAAAAAATGGTCAATATGTGAGAGGCAGAGGCCCCAAGACACTAAAGTGTCAAGGAATGAAAGGAAGAGTAATAGTCAAGATGAGAAGCATAATTAACTGTCTGAAATTCGAAGGTTGGGAACCAAGAAAATGACCACTGAATGCACTGAAAAAAATATTGATGGCCTGCCAGGAGTTAATTGAGTTAGAGATTACATGAGATTATATAAGAATCAATGAGATTTATATCTCTAAAGAAATAAACATCTTAATGTCTGTATATTTGCTATATCATTATTGATCATGATGATTATAATGACAATAATGATGACGACGATGATGTTTTATATATGAAAGTAAGTGTAGTACTGTTTGTTCATTCTTAGAGCCCATTCTTTATCCTCTGATTTTTGGTTTATATTGTCACTTGTTACTATGGTAACTTAAGGAGATAGGGAATACCAGTTTTTAAGAACACACCCTGAGAATTGGGATTCTTCACACATAAACATGAAATTTTTCCAGTTTTTAAATATTTTCTCTTAAAAGTATTTCTTTCAATATTTCTGTTATGCTATATAAGCAAATTACAATTACAGCTGTTCTCTAGACTCTTATTATTCCAGTTCCACTTTGAGGAATTGTATTTATAGTTGGTGGAGGGGTTGGGTATTTTCAAGAAGTTTTAAATCATGTATGTGAAAATTTGGTGTACAAGGTTCTTTTTTTTTTTTTTTTTTTGTGACAGAGTCTTGCTGTGTCGCCCAGGCTGGAGTGCAGTGGCGTGATCTCGGCTCACTGCAACCTCCGCCTCCCGGGTTCACGCCATTCTCCTGCCTCAGCCTCCCAAGTAGCTGGGACTACAGGCGCCCGCCACCACGCCTGGCTAATTTTTAGTATTTTTAGTAGAGACGGGGTTTCACTGTGTTAGCCAGGATGGTCTCGATCTCCTGACCTCGTGATCCACCCGCCTCGGCCTCCCAAAGTGCTGGGATTACAGGTTTGAGCCACTGCACCTGGTCCACAAGAATCTTTAATAAATTAAGCCTAAGAAAAAATTCAAATGAAGTCACAATTATGTGGAAGTCTAGTGGGTTTGGGATAAATGATCCATCTTACTACTTATATACATTGGTACATGGTATCAATTTATTCATTAACTTATTCAACTGTTCACTAAATTGTCATCACTACGGGCAAGCATTCCCTTGGGATTTATGGGGAAGCTACTTAATTGAGCTTACACTTTTGAGAGAGAGAACAACATTAACACATTTCTAATGTAGCCGTAAATGCTATGAAGACGAAGTGAGGGAAAGGTCTACACAGAATAGTGTAAGCAATTTAAGGAGACTATTTTAGATTGGTTGCTGAGGAAGAGCCCTTTAGAGGAGCTGGCATTTCACTGTTTATATGATTGAATGGACGGAGCATATAAAGCTATCTGAAGAGGGAAATATTCTAGGCAGAGGAAGTAGTGAGTACAAAGCCTCTGATAAAGACATGAGGTATTTCCAGAAGCAGAAATACAATGAGTATGGCTAGAGCTGAATAGGAGAGCAGGAGAGTTTCAAGTGATACAGTCAGAGTGATACAGTTAGAGGATATATTATACTTGACCTAGTCGGCCATGTAGGGAATTTTAGTTTTATTCTGAGTGTGATGAGAAGACACTGGAGTGTTTTGAGCAGGTAAGAAACATTGGATTCACATTTAAGGGATTCATCCTGACTGCTGAATGGACAGTACATTGTAGAATAGCAAGAGAAGAACCAGAGAAACCAATTAGGCTATTGAATAGTTCAGATAGGAGGCTATAGTGGATTAGACGAGGATACCGACTTGAAGGTTATGGGTAGATATTCTCTTCTGTACATGGTTTGAAGTATGAATCCACATGATTTTCTGACTGATTAGATGGCTTTGCAAAGAAAAGAGAGAAATCATAATAAGATTTTTGGCCTGAACAATGGAAAGAAAGGCAATGCCAGTATTTAGCTATTACTTGAAATACATATTTTTTGTTTTAGCATCACAGTGGGTGATAATCATCCCTGAAAATCAAAATCATGTTTTGATTCTCAAGGAATGGAATGTATATGCCCAAATTTCTACATTATACATATGGGCAAAAATCCATACATTATGAGAAATGAATTAAGTTTATCAATATGGAGTTTCACTTTTTAACTTTTGAGTTTGGGTTGATGCCTAAAGTCATACACTTAAAAGATCCTATTTTAGATTCAATAGTGCAAGAGTTCATGATAGTATTTTAAGATGTTAAAAAAAATAAAAAAGAAGTTCCAAAATCTATTATCTTTTTATACTGCTTAATAATTATGACTATGACTCACTCAAATCAACCTTTCAAGTAACTTGTCATAAAATAAAGGACAAGTCACAGGTACATTAATAAGAAGTTAGTAAAGAGAATAAATGCATTACCCTGCAGCTTTCACTTAAGTTTAGAACCCTCCAAACTTGTCATTAAAGTTAATTTCTGATAACATGTCCTAAAGTTGCTCTTTCAAATTAATTTTCACCTTATACTTCATATTAAATTCTAAAAAATCTTTTATGATGTGTATTAAATGGTTATAGATTTATAGCAATTCCATTCCAGGTTTTCATTCAAAAAGCAGAAAGATGAGATGTGGTAATTTACATATGGCCATATAATTATCCTGGCACAGAGATTCAGAAAAGACAGATTCCAACTCAGTGTACAATGACACAGAAACGGAAAGAAATGACACACCACATAGCTTTAATAATCACTTCATTATCAATTAGTGTCATGAATAAATTACCTTCTTAAGTGAGAAATTATAGACAGCCTTACATAGCTGAACAAATCTGGCAGTGGATGTCTTCTGCAGATAAAGTAGAAATACTGTATTTAATTAGCTTCAATTTTAGGAGCTGTTATGAAAATAAGATTTTAAAAAAAAAGACAGTTGAATATAAAAACATCTATCTGGTATGTATAACGACACACCTACCAAGACACCTGGTTTTTGCCCCACGGAAATACCTTAAACATTCCTTGATTACATTGCAAAGTCTTTCCAGAAAGCTTAATTTTAAGATTAAACTTGTTTGCCTGAAATGGTTGAACAGAAGGATGGAAGACTAGAAAATATACAGCACGTTTATCAGGCTCAGGTTGTATCCTGATGGCCCATTCTGATCATATATGAGTTAAAAAAAAAACTCTATAAAATGAAAATAATCACAGAAAGTAGCTACAACTTTATTGTAAGGCATCCATGAGTTAATACATATCACACATTTAGATATTAATTTTCCTAATTATAATGCCTTTATGCCAAATTCATAAACATGCACAGTTTTGAATTCCGTAGCAGTGTATATAACTCAGCACAATTAATAGCTTAGAGCCCTCTATCGTCTTCCTGTTTTAGTTCATGCCTCTTTCTTCTAGGGAATATTCTGAAGTTGCTCTAGGAAATAATGATCTTTCCTCCTTCAGGACTAGCCCTTAATATGCAGAGCCATATAATCTCCATGTCAAAAAGGGTTTTAATGGCTATGCTGAATGGCCTCCCTTTAGTAATTTCCCCTCTATGATGACTATGCAAGTAATCACCGGGTTTCTACCCTTCTAGAGCAAGAGAACAGGTTCCATCTGATGTGGTGGTGGTGGAAAAAGAGCACTGGTCTAGCAAGCAGAAGTGGTTCTTCTCTTACCAAGTGATATGGTTTGGCTGTGTCCCCACCCAAATCTCATCTTAAATGTAGCTCCCACAATTCCCACATGTCGTGGGAGGGACTAGTTGGGAGGTAATTGAATCATGGGGGTGGGTTTTTTCCCATGCTATTCTTATGATAGTGAATAAGTCTCATGAGATCTGATGGTTTTATAAAGGGGAGTTCCCCTGCACAAGCTCTCCCTTGCCTGTTGCAATGTAAGATGTTTCTTGCTCTTATGCCATGATTGTGAGGCCTCCCCAGCCATGTGGAACTGTGAGTCAATTAAACCTCTTTCCTTTATAAATTACCCAGTCTCAGTTATGTCTTTATTAGCAGTGTGAGAAAGGCTAATACATCAAGTTTCCTAAGGTAGTGCTCCTTATTACTGTAAACCTATTCTTCGTAAAATTTGAGGAGACTTCAAAGAGTTCATGAAAAAATGGAAATAAATGATAAAATCAAAAAGTATAAACTTTATTTCTCAACATAAGCTCCATCTAGGTCACAACAAAACATGTTGTAAGCCACAACATCAGCCATTTAGTTTAACCCTAAAGAACTGAGAATTCTGAGAGTTTAACCATACCAATGAAGTATTTTGTAAATTATTAACTGAAAAAAATGGGTCATCTTTACATTTTAAAAGAGTATTTTACCTTTTATTTTGTATTCAGGGGTTATATATTAGGTTTGTTACATGGGCATATTGTGTGATGCTGACATTTCTGGTACAGTTGGTCCCTTCACAAAGGTAGTGAGCATAGTACACAATAAATAGTTTTTCACCCCATTCCCCTTTCCCCTCTCCCCTCCTAGTAGTCCCCAGGGTCTATTGTTCCCATCCTTATGTGCATGTGAACTCAATGTTTACTTCCTATTTATAAATGAGAATGTGGTATTTGGTTTTCTGTTCCTGCATTAGTTTGCTTAGGATAATGGCTTCCAACTGCATCCATGTTGCTGCAAAACACATGACTTCATTCTTTTTTGTAGCTGCATAGTATTCCGTGAAATACATGTACCACACATTCTTTATTCAATCCACAATTGATCGGCACCTAGGTCAATACCATGTCTTTGCTATTGTGAATAGCATTGTAATGAACATACAACTTCATGTATGTTTTTTGTAGAATGATTTATTCTCCTTTGGGTATATACCCAGTAATGGGATTGCTGGGTTGAATGGTAGTGCTATTTTAAGTTTTCTGAGAAAACTCCAAACCCATTTCCACAGTAGCTGAACTAATTTGCACTCCTACCAATAGTGTATAAGTGTTCCCTATTCTCCACAGGCTTACCATCATCCATTATTTTTTGATTTTTTAAATAGTGCTGGGATAACTGGCTAGCCAGATGTAGAATATTGAAACTGGACCCTACTTTTCACCATATACAAAAATTAGCTCCAAAATAATCAAAAATTTAAATGTAAGACCTCAAAGTATAAGAATCCTAGAAGAAAAGCTAGGAAATAACCTCCTCATCATCAGCTTTGGCAAATAATTTATTCTTAAGTTCCCAAAAACAATTGCAACAAAACAAAAATTGACAAGTAGGACCTAATTAAACTAAAAAGCTTCTGCACAACAAAATAAATAATCAACACAGTAAAGAGACAGTCTAAAGAAAGGGGAGAAAATATTTGCACACTATGCATCCAACAAAAGTCTGATATCCAGAATCTATAAGAAACGGAAACAAATTAACAAACAAAAAACAAATAATCTAATTAATAATAGACAAAAGGCAGGAATGGACACTTTCCTAAAAGAGACACACTAGTGGCCAAGAAACATGAAAAAATGCTCAACATCACTAATCATTAGATAAATGCAAATGAAAACCACAATGAGATACCATCTTGCAGCAGTCAGACTGGCAATTATCAAAAAGTCAAAAAATAACAGATGCTTTTAAAGACTTTTTAAGCTTAGGAAGCAAAAAGTAGTCAGAAAGAGCCAAATCGAAATTGTAAGATGGATGCCTAATGATTTTTCATCAAAACTGTAAAAAAAAATCACCCTTGTTTGATGAAAGGGATGAACAGGAGCATTGTTGTGGTAGTGAAGGACTCTCTGATGGAGATTTCCTGGGCAATTTTTTTCTGGTAAATTTTTGGCTACATTTCTCAAAACACTCCCATTATAAGCAGATGTTATCATTATTTGGCCCTCCAGAAAGTCATCAAGCAAAATGCCTTGAGCCTCCCCAAAAGCCATTGCCATGACCTTTGCTGTTGACCAGTCCACTTTTGCTTTGACTGAACCACTTCCATCTCTTGATACTCTTTGCTTTGATCATGCTTTGACTTCAGGATGGTACTAGTAAAGCCATGGTTTATCTCCTGTTCTAATTCTTCCAGGAAATGCTTCAGGATATTGATCCCACTTGTTTGAAATTTCTATTGAAAGCTCTGCTCTTATCTGTAGCTGATTTGGGCACAAGAGTTTTGGTACCCATCCAATGAAAAGGTTGCTCAACTCAATTTTTTAGTTAGACTTGTGTAAGCTGAAGCAATTGAGATGTCTATGATGTTGGCCATTGTTTGTACTGTTAATAGTCTTCTTCAATTAAGGCATGAACAAGATGAATTATTGTCTTCCAAATTGATGTAGATGGTCTGCTGCTGCAGGCTTCATCTTCAATGTCATCTAATCCTTCTTAAAATGAGCTATCCATTTTAAACTGCTGATTTTTTTGGTAATTGTCCCCATAAACTTTTGTGAAGCATCAGTAATTTCACCATTTTCCACCCAAGCTTCCCCACAAATGTAACATTTGTTCTCCAATTTTTTATTTTATTTTATTTTTATTTTTTTGAGATGGAATCTCGCTCTGTTGCCCAGGCTTGAGTGCAGTGGTGTGATCTCGGCTCACTGCAAACTCTGCCTCCTGGGTTCACGCCATTCTCCTGCCTCAGCCTCCTGAGTAGCTGGGACTACAGGTGCCTACCACCACACTGGCTAATTTTTTTTTTTTTTTTGTATTTTTAGTAGAGATGGGGTTTCACCGTGTTAGCCAGGATGGTCTTGATCTCCTGACCTTGTGATCTGCCCGCCTCAGCCTCCCAAAGTGCCGGGATTACAGGCGTGAGCCACCGTGCCTGGCCCTGTTCTCCAATTTTAGTAAAATTTATGTTGCTGTGAAAGAGGCTCTTTTCAAGCGAATATCTTATCCTTATTAGTGCCTCAAACTAGACCCTGTTCAGACATGTTATAAAAAGTTTATACAGCTTTATTTTGGTGCAAAAATTTTTGAAATGTATGCATAGTTTTATTATAATATGCATTTTCCATGAACACTTTGAAGAACCGTTACATGCTTGTCTGTAGAAATGACCTCAAAATATTCCTTGAGCACTATGATTCTGTTATCTTGAGGTATCTCATTTCATGTTTTATCCTCTGTTGTGTAGAGTTCTTTAAACATACATAATCAATAATGGAAGAAATGACTTATTTTGATACAGCATTAGTGAGCTATTGTGCAGTCAACAAAAGGACAATACAAATACACATAACAATTTCAGAATAAAATGTTGAATTAGATTTTCAGTGATATGTTACAAATATTTTTAAAATACTTGTTAAAGAAATGGTTATAAAAGAGCATGCAAATATGAACATGCTTATAGAGTGAACAATTATAAGAACTTTCCACATTTTAAACAGTATTTCTATAACTTATGTATAGCCCTTAACATTATGGTACAAGGAAATAGACACATTTTTATATTGAGCCAAAATAACCACCCTGCCACTTTCAACAGACTCTTCTTTTCCCTCTCAGCCCCCTGAGAGAATCTAGTCTCTGTAACATCAGCTTTCCAGTAATTTAAAGGTAAATTGCATACTGGTCTATGTTTTATTTTTTTTTCCCAAATGAAATCTCTGATTTCTTTGGTTATTTCTCTTAGGACATTATTTTTAAACCAGCACCATTTTGTTTTATTTAATGTCCTTTTAAAAGTGAACACAGTCTTCCTGTGGTCATCTGACAAATCCAGGGTTGTCATTATCCTAGTTCTAATGAGTATGCAATTTCTATTACTATAGCTGAAAATTAATTAGCGTTTGAAGTAGCCACATCACATGGTTGACTAGATTTACTGTCATCCTTAGCCTACATTTTTAAACATGCATTGCTTCTCTGCTTTTTTCCCATCTCATATTTTATTTTAATCCAAATAATTATTTTGTATATATTTTTTACGTATTTTTTCTAATTCTTCTTCCCAGTGGAGTCAACAACTTGACTAACTTTATATCCCCTACAAATGCAACTCAAATGGAAAACAAAAAAATTTTAAGCCACCGAAACAGGGGTTATCAAAATTTTGAATGAAAATTCATCAAGTAAGTAACCTTTTATAAATACAGATTTTTAGGCTCAAGTTTAAGAGATTCTTATCAGTCTGATACAAGTGGAGCCCTAGGAATTGCTTTTGAAGGCATTGCCAAGATGGTTTCGAAGCAGGTGACCTAGGGATCCACTATCAAAAACTGTTATCAAAAATAACTATTTTCTGAGGTGTTCTCAGGCACTAATTACACTAGTTATTTAAATAGTTTTTAGATTTCACCAAAGACCCTGCTAAATAGACACGCAGAAGAGCCTCCAAGTCCTGGAATTTTAGGATGGAACTTGCTCACTTAGTTTCTACTGCATACCTGAGCACAGAGAGGTCTGAAATACTTGATTGCATCAAATACTAAGGCTTTTGGTACCTATCTATGAGGATATACACATCTATCAGTATATCCATTTGTTCATTCGTCTAACATTTATTCATTGAGTGTTTATTATGTACCAGGCACTATTCAAGTCTACAACATAAGATGAACTCTTCTTATTCATAAACAAAACTAAACAAGCAAACAAAGCCACAGCTAGTCACCAGCCATTCTTAGACTTTATCACATTAAAGGCATAGAAATGTCCACTCTCATTGTTCTTTGGGTATGAATATATGTTCTAAGCTTATTTCTGCTCTCCCAGTTCTGTCCTATATATTGTTTCCTTGTTGGCTTTTTCATTTTCAACAATCTCTTTAACTCCATACTGCCTTCTCAGGTCTCTATGTGTCATTTTTTAGGGTTCTTCATATATTCAAACAATGATCTATTTGCTCAGATTCACCATGAATATCCACATGCTACAGATCAGGACACATGGGCAAAGAAGAGGTAGATACCTTGGCCAATGGAGCAAAGATACTAAATAGAAGAAAAGTATTAGAATGATGCTCTTACTTTCGACTCAGTCTATTTCCTCATGCTGCTTTCAAAACTGCATGGTGCCTGGCACATTTTCACTTGACAGATGCTCATGATAAAAAATGACGCATTTTGATATGCCCCTGACAATATTAGGCAGTTTAGTGCTAAGACTTATTCCAAGTGAATATTGATGGCTCGATTCAATGTATAAAGGTATTGCATTTTGAGGTCCACACGATAGGTAATAAGAATCCAGAGAACTTGGAGTGAATTGGACAGAAGTAAATAAGCATATAATATCCCTACAGGACCTAACCCTTTGCCTTACGCTCAATTGAGCCTAACCTTTCATGCTCGTTAAGCTATAGCCACACTAGCTTCCCTTGTATTCTAAGAACTTGGACTATGCTCTTTTTCACCTCAACGCTTGGAGGTACATTTGTCTCTACCTAAAATACTCTCGGCCCTCTTCATCGGATGGCTTCTTCTTGTAATTCAGGCCCCCACACAAATTTCACCTTCTAACTGGCATCCTCTGTTGCCTACTATTGATTCCCTCTGTTATTTTCTTTATAGCACTTTAGAACGTCCGAAATAATCTTTATTTGGTTATTATCTGTCTCCCTCACTAGAATATTGATTAACAAGTAGAAATTTTTGATTTATTTGCAAGTATAACTCTATAAAAACAGAATCTGCTAAGCAATAAGCAGTCAAATATAGAGGTGAATGAATTAATGAATATGAAGCTGTTATATGCAAATAACTATGTGTGCTCAGAAACAGAATAAGGTGAAATGAAAGATCACTATATCCATTATCGGAAGTTGTATGTTTGTTTCTTTGAGGTTGTTCTGAGTTATTGCAGGATGAGTAAGACTTGCATAGTAGTTATTAAATCCCATAATGGCTATTTACTTAATCTTTGATTAGAAAAATAAAATAAAACATACTTAAGGATACACTGTATTTCAAGAATATTCCTCCAAATAAGTAACTACTACATATTTCAGATATATTACAATTTTTCATTGTTCAAAATGAAAACACTTATTCTCACATCTAAAAAATTTGCCCTTGAATCACGTTATCAGTTACTATTATTGCTTCTAACTCAAGCTGGCTATTGAAAGGATTAAAGGGAATAAATAAGTATTACATGTGCTAAAAACTTTTGTTTTTCCTTTTCAGAAAGGATCACATGGTTTGGAAATCATTAAAACACACATACACACATGCACATAAAAACGCCCCCCAGAGGCCGGGCGCTGTGGCTCACACCTGTAATCTCAGCACTTTGGGAGGCCGAGGCGGGCGGATCACGAGGTCAGATCGAGACCATCCTGGCTAACGCGGTGAAACCCAGTCTCTACTAAAAATACAAAAAAATTAGCCGGGCATGGTGGTGGGCGCCTGTAGTCCCAGCTACTCGGGAGGCTGAGGCAGGAGAATGTCATGAACCCAGGAGGCAGAGCTTGCAGTGAGCCGAGATCAAGCCACTGCACTCCAGCCTGGGCGACAGAGCAAGACTCCATCTCAAAAAAGGAAAAAAAAAACAAAACAAAAAACCCACATACATACATGCACATAAATATACACACAAGAAATGCAATTTATTCAACAGTAACTCTGAAAAATCTTCCAATTGGTTCCAATTTTATTGATTATGCTTGTATCAGTCTTCTTACATTAAAGGATCAGGTGCTTCTGTTTTTCAAGGAGACGTGGTTAGTATTACGGTATTATTTTATGCTCAGAATAAAACGTTTAAGTTGTATGTGGAAACTTATGAGAAGATACTGAACACCACTCTAAGTCGAGATAAGCCTTCTTCTGAAAGACCTCAGATGGATGGAGACCCAGAAGTGGGTGTTTTAATTGAGGATTTTTAAGATTGAGAATGCCTCTTCAATGATTCAGAGAAACACAAGATGAAAATAATAATTTTATGACTTGCGGGTCTTGGGGGTTACACAGCATGTTTGGAGGCCACACACGTATTTGTTTCGAGGGCATTATCTAAACAGGTTTCCTGCGGGAAGGTTTAATTGATGGTTTAAAGCAAGCAGGCATGAGTTCTAGATGTTCACACTTTAACAGACAGGTGGTCACAGATGTCTATCTACACAGTCCATGTGGGCCAAGAGGGACCATTCAAGTAGGTTATATCTAGTTGTTTCATAGGGAAGTGACAACCAGGAGGAGGTTGTATTAGGCAGATATCTGGATTGACCACCCCGAGGAACTGGGAGGAAGTGTAGAAATAGCCACAGTGTGAAGGGTGACTGACCCCTGCTTCTGGTCTGAGAAAGTTGAACTTATATTTAAAATGGATGTTGATGAGATGGATGCAGCTATCAAAGCTAAGCAGATAAGGGAGCAACTTTAACCAGAAGATGAGGGTGGTGAAGAGGATATCGTAGCAATCTAAAATTATAAGAATTCACTACAGTGAATTTCAAGTGGAAGGTTTCAAAGTCAAAGAAGAATTGTTTGCTGCCAGGTGCAGTGGCTCATGCCTGTAATCCCAGCACCGTGGGAGGCCGAGGAGGGTGGATCACGAGGTTGGCAGTTCGAGACCAGCCTGACCAATATGCTGGAACCCCATCTCTACTAAAAACAAAAAAAAATTAGCCCTGCGTGGTGGTGTGCCTGTAATCCCTGCTACTCAGGAGGCTGTGGCAGAAGAATCACTTTAACCCGCGAGGTGGAGGTTACAGTGACGTCGAGCCACTGCACTCCAGCCTGGGTGACAGAGGGAGAACCTGTCTTAAAAAAAAAGAAAAAAAAGAAAAAGAGTTGTTTGCTCTAGTGAAAGACTATTGTTGCAAATAGAGACTAGAATAATCAAAGGCACGTATCTTTGACAATTGTTTTGTTTATTATTATTATTATTAATTTAAATGAAGATAGGGTCTTGCTATAGGTTGCCCAGGCTGGTTCTGATTGCTGGCCTCAAGCAATTCTCCCACCTCAGCCTCTCACAGTGCTGGTATTATAGGCATGAGCTACCACACCTGGCCACATATATTTGAATTTAAAAGAAAAAAAGTTGAAATTTAAATACCCTAAATTTTAAAAAAATTGAATCAAAAATACTTCTGGTCTGAGACCTGAGATGTCAGAGTCATGCAGAGTGAAACTCGTCAGCAGATGAAATTGTTTCAAATAGGTGTTTCATAGTAACTGACATAGTTCTTGGAATGTAATAAAAGTGTCAACAAATAGATTCCCGTGACAGAGGCCTGCCAGCATACGGATGCTGTCCTGTGAGGGAAAGTTTGAGTGGAGAGGAACATATTGTGATTCCATTTGGTAGTCAGCAGGAGACAGAGATCCTTTGAATTGCTGAGAATAAAATAGACATTCTCATTAGGAGAAAAGCGAGCTTTGACTTGGAAGTTTTCACTATTCTCACCCAATTCAAGGAAGAGAAAGGATATAGAAGAAGAAAAATGTTTCGTCTGATTGAACTCAGATTGATATTTAGTTTCACTAGAAATCATAATGTAAAGTAACAAGTGACTTTGGGCTCCGGCTTCCTGAGGTATGAAGTTTAGCTCTTACACTAACCAGTTCCACAGATCTCTACACACATTTTCACTGGATTTCACACATCATTATAAATCTATTGTAATATAGCATAATGTTTGTTATTTAAATAACATGCAATAGCCAGGCACAGTGGCTCATGCCTGTAATTCCAGCACTTTGGGAGGCCGAGGTAGGTAGATCTCTTAAGCTCAGGAGTTCAAACCCAGCCTGAGCAACATGGCAAAACCCTGCCTGTACCAAAAATACAAAAAGTTAGCTGGGCACGGTGGTGTGCACCTGTGGTCCCTGGTACTCAGGAGGCTGAGGTGGAAGGATCGCTTGAGTCTGGGAGGTGGAGGTTGTGGTGAGCTGAAATTGCACTGCTGTACACCAGCCTGGGTGACAGAGCCAGACCTCATCTCAAAAATAAAATAAATAAATAAATAACAAAATACACATTTATTTTATTTTCCAGAAAATATTTTTATGTAAATAATTATTCCAATATTTAAAAAAATTGGTAGCATTTCTAGACTCACAGATCATACTAAGGTGCTCAAAATTTGCAACATTAATCAAACAGGTGGAAAAGTAATGTTAAGTAGCTGTAGAAAAGTCTTCATTGTAAAAGATGATACTGACTTAAAAAATAAAAAGTTTCCCATTTGAGGAAGTCATCATCATGCAGACAGAATTCAAGCATTCTGTGAGAAATTGACTTGGCCTTTTGGATCTTTGTCAGGTCTAATATTTTGAGTATGTGAAATTACAAACATTTTGTTAAGAAATTGTAATCATATGTAATTATGGGGTACAGAGTGATGTTACGATGTATGTATACAGTGTGTAATGATTGAATCAAGCTAATTAACATATCCATTACCTTAAATACTAATGTGTTCCCCTGTCTAACTGCAATTGTGTACCCTTTGATCAAAATCTCCCCATTTTCCCCACCTCCCAGCTGCTGATAACTACCACTCTACTGTCTGTATCTATGATTTCTACTGTGTTAGATTCCACACATAAGTGAGATCATGTGTATTTGTCTTTCTGTGCCTAGTTTATTTCACTTGGCATAATGTCCACTAGGTTCATCCATATTGTCTTTTGTTTTGTGTGTTTTTTTATTTTACTTTTATTTAAAGTTCAAGGGGTCATGCCTGAGTTTGTTATGTAGGTAAACTCATGTCACGGGGGTATGGTATACATATTACTTCATCAACCAAGTACTCAGCACAGTACCTGAGAGGTATTTTTTTCTGATCCTCTCCCACCTCCCATCCTCCACCATCAAGTAGGTCCTAGTGTCCATTGTTCTCCTGTTTGTGTCCATATGTTCTTATTGTTCATCTCTCACTTGTAAATGAGAACATGGGGTGCTTGGTTTTCTGTTCCTGCATTAGTTTGCTGAGAGTAATGGCCTTCAGCTCCATTCATGTTGCTGCAGAGGGCATAATCTAATACTTTTTTATGGCTGCAAAGTATTTCCTGGTGTATATGTACTACATTTTCTTTATCAGGTCAACCATTGATGGGCATTTAGGTTGACTCCGTGTCTTTGCTATTGAATAGCACTGCAATGAATGTACACGTGCATGTATCTTTATGGTAGATTCCTTTGGATATATACCCAACAATGGGATTTCTGAGTCACATGGCAATTCTGTTTTTAGTTCTTTGAAGAACTGCCACACTGCTTCCCACAATGGCTGAACTAATTTACACCTCCACCAGCAGTGTATATGATGAGATGTCCTGATAGTCTTGATTCTACTTTCATTCATTCAATATATATTGTTGTAATCCATACCCTCATGAAGTTTATAATCTAGAAGAGAATATGGTTAAAAGTACATTTAAAAATATAATTAACTAATTTCAACTTTGGCAAGTGCAAAAAAGTACAAGTGATGTTATAACATAACACAGGCAGGCAATTTTGTTTAACCTAGGAAAGGCATGCAAGATTAACTCTAACTTATAAATAGGTGTTGGTCTAGAACTATGCTTGCAAGGAAGGATAGAGGAAAATAAGTTTAGTCACGAAGCACAGATGTTTAAAAATTTTAAACTGAGAAAAATAAAACTTTCTGTAGCAGGGTAAATAAAAGATAACTCAACTACCTGTTGCGCAGAAGAAGAAAAGGCAGAAAAGTATCTCTAAGTCATGACGAGGGGTTTGGAATTTTTTTTAAGTTCAGTGGGAAGCAATTAAGTAATATTAAGAAGGAGAATGATATAACCAGGGCTGAATTCAATAAATTCTAGTAATGATTAATTGACAGTCATTTCTCCTCTCTTTTTCCATTTCCTCACCTGTAAAATGAGAACATATGGTCATTTTTAATAGTTGCATTTTTTATAGTCTATTATACTGTAGATTCTTTTCTGGCCACACACAGTAAATCAACCTATCCAGACACTAGGCATTTTATGAGTCATGGAAGAGATGTAACATTTAAATTTCATTCAGACCTTGCCATTAGCAAATGTAGTGGTAAGAGGACAGAGCAGGAATTGTAGCTTCCCACTCACTGGCTATATGGGGGCCTGGGAAGTTACTCAACTGCTCAACATGCAATTGCCCTATTTTTTTTTGTTTCATTTGTTAAATGGAAGGATAGTAATATTTTACTGGTAAATTTCTCCATACATGAAGCGATCTTTTTTAATGGCTTATCCCATTCCCTTCTCTGAGACATTTGAAAAATGTGATTCAGTCTCAATTGGAATTATTTCCCCCTTTCATCCTGCCTCCTGCCAATGTCTACCATTTATTTTTTTGTCAAACCAAAGACACTTCCAAGCCTTCTAAGAAAAAAATGGTGTCACATACTCACATGAAGCCTAGATGTTTAAAAATCTTAAGCTGAGAAAAATAAAACTGTCTGTAGCAGGGTAAATAAAAAAGAATTTCACTACCTGTTGCACAGAAAAAAAAAAAGGCAGAAGAGAATCTCAAAAGGTCTCCTGAGTCATGGTGAGGAGTGATGCCTGTGAATACGATGGAATTTGGTGTCATTCATACTTTTGGCGAAGTAGAGCATAGGGGAGTTCCAAATATTTAGGTTTTAAAAATGCAAAACGCAAAACACAAAAAACTAAGGGGAAGTTAGTCATTGCCTAACTTAATAGTCTCATCCTTGAACTGTGCCAAGGCACTACTATTTTTTACTATACCAGTGCTTGTGTGTGAGCCTGAGGATATCTGCACATTTCTGTGTGGTTTGACACTGATTCTCTCTGATCTGAGCTACCATGAAACCCACAGGGCCATCTGTGTGTCCTGTTGACAGGCTGGAATAAAAGCCTTGGCTCAGGTTAAACACCAACTCTTTTTACTCCTGTTCAAATGGGTTTACAATGGTGATTCCTGATCTTTTACCACTGCCATTTGTTTTCATAAAAAGTCAGAGGCTAAAAGAGATTTCTTCCACAGCTGATGTGATGTAATTATTTTCCCCTAGTGTTTCATGGTGAGAGTTTGTCTTCCGTTTACTGACTTACAGCTCTAGTGTTTTACCTGGTTTCATTTAAAGATGTACCTCAGTTTTCAGGGTAAAGAATAAAATACCAGACACAGTGAAATATTAATCACTTGCCCCAAGGGGAAATGTGAAGGAAATTTCGGGATCATAACACTAAATAATATGTTTGTTATATGTTTTGTGTGTGATAGTAATAAAGTTCATGATACATACATAAAAATTTAAATAATTCATTTTCTTCTCAAACATCCTCAGAGAGAAAGAACATCAAAAGTTGACATCTGAACCATAGCATATTTACAAAATGTACTAATAATTAATAAACATCACTGAGATATGATGTTTTCAACAGTTAGGAGGTCAGCCCTTTATGTTTGTACATGGTTCTGTGCCTGTATACATTCCCTAGGAAGGCTTAAAATATTATTTGCAAAAATAATATTCCCCTCTTCCTGATATATTATTTTCGAGAGAGAGTCAGATAAAGTGGACTTTAGAAGGGGTTAAGGATAGAAAGACATAAATTTAATGGTTAAGAATGGAAAGACATACATTTGAGGACCAGATGTGCTGTGAACCCTTTGGAAAGACAGTCTCTTGCTCAATCTGGGCCTCACTGGTGTCATTGGTAACTGTAGAGGATTCAGCACATGCTCTAAAAGATCCTTTCCCAATTTGAATATTTACTAATTTTTTTTGTTTAATCTGTAAAAGCCTCAACAAAAACACAACCAGAGTAAAATATAAGAAACTTAATTTACAAGAACGTTCTGATGAATTTTATTTGTAATTTGTTCTAGACCAGTGTTAATTTTGAAGCATTTAAATGTTTAACTCTCATGACGTTTTACAGAAAATTATTAAGGTTGCTGAAGCAACCAATATCAGAAACAGTAAGTTTTCCATGATTTCATCATGTTTTCTAAGAAGCTTATTGAGATTTGAGAAGAAAGATACTTCAGCCCACAAAATATATAGAATAAAATATAAACCTCATTCTACAGTATTATGTATTCTATGTGCTAGTATTAAAAATCCAATAAAAATAAAAGGTGAAATAGAAAATAAGTCATGAATAAATTAAAAGGACATCAATGTGTTTACTTGTGAACTACCACAATAGTCTCTGAAGATGCTGGCCCTTTATATATATATACACACACATACACACACACACACACACACACACATATATAGAGAGAGAGCATATAATATATGTATCTACATCTAGAGAGAGTATATAATATGTATAATATATGCTGATAATGATATGGACAGTGAAATTCAGACTGATATGGTCTCAGATGGAGATGAGGAACGTGTTGGGAACTGAAGTAAAGGTGACTCTTGTTACGTTGTAGCAAAGAGATTGGCTGCATTTTGCCCCTGTGCTAGAGATTTGTGGAACTTTGAACTTCAGAGAGATGATTTAGTGTATCTGGTGAAAGAAATTTGTAAGCAGGAAGGCATTCAAGAAGTGACTTAGGTGCAGTTAAAGGCATTCAGTTTTAGACAAAAAGCAGAGCACAAAAGTTTGGAAAATTTGCAGTCTTACAATGTGATAAAAAAGAAAATCCCATTTTCTGAGGAGAAATTCAAGCCAGCTGCAGAAATGTGCATAAGTAACGTGGAACTGAATGTTAATCCCCAAGACAATGGGGAAAATGTCTCCAGGGCATGTCAGAGACCTTCACATCAGCCTCTGCCATCATAGGCCCAGAGGCCTAGGAGGAAAAAGTGGTTTTGAGGGCTGGGCCCAGGGTCCCCATGCTGTGTGCAGCCTAGGGAGTTGGTGCCCTGCATTGCAGCTGCTCCAGCCATGGCTGAAAGGGGCCAATGTAGAGCTCAGGCCATGGCTTAAGAGGGTGCAAGCCCCAATCCTTGGCAGCTTCCATGTGGTGTTGAGCCTGCAAGTGCACAGAAGTTGAGAATTGGGGTTTGAGAACCTTTGCCTAGATTTCAGAGGATGTATGGAAATGCTTGGATGCCCAGGCAGAAGTTTGCTGCAGAGGTGGGGCCCTCATGGAGAACCGCTAGGGCAGTGCAGAAGGAAAATGTGGGGCCTACGGTCCCACACAAAGTCCCTACTGGGGCACTGCCTAGTGGAGTTGTGAGAAGAGGGCGACCATTCTCCAGACCCAGAATGGTAGATCCACTGACAGCTTGCACCTTGCGACTGGAAAAGCTGCAGACATTCAATGCCAGCCCATAAAGGCAGCCAAGAGGGAGGCTGTACCCTGCAAAGCCACAGGGCAGAGTTTCCGAAGACCGTGGGAACCCACCTCTTGCATCAACATGACCTGGATGTGAGACATGAAATGAAAGGAGATCATTTTGGAACTTAAAGATTTGACTGCCCCACTGGATTTCAGACTTGCATGGGGATTGTAGCCCCTTTGTTTTGCCAGTTTTTCCCATTTGGAATGGTTGTATTTACCCAATGCATGTACTCCTACTGTATCTAGGAAGTAACTAAGTTGCTTTTGATTTTACAGGCTCATAGGTGGAAGGCATTTGTCTCAGATGAGACGTTGGACTGTGGGCTTTTGAGTTAATACTGGAATGAGTTAAGACTTTTGGGGATGGTTAGGAAGGCATGATTGCTTTTGAAATGTGAGGACTTGAGATTTGGCAGGGGCCGGGGCAGAATGATATGGTTTGGGTCTGTATCCACATCCAAATCTCATCTTGAATTCCCATGTGTTGTGGGAGGGACACAGTGGGAGGTAATTGAATCATAGGGGCAAGTCTTTCCCATGCTGTTCTCACGATAGTGAATAAGTCTCACAAGATCTGATGATTTTATGAAGAGGAGTTCCCCTGCACAAATTGTCTCTCTTTGCCTGTTGCCATCCACTTAAGAAATGACTTGCTCCCCCTTGCCTTCCACCATGATTGTGAGACCTCCCTAGCCCTGTGGAACTGTAATTCTGTTAAACCTCTTTCTTTTGTAAATTGCCGAGTCTCAGGCATGTCTTTATCAGCAGCATGAAAATGGACTAATACAGCTTTTCTTTTTAAACCTCCCTTTTAAAGTAGGGGTAATTATTCTCTTTATTTCTCATGCTTTCACCCTCAAGTTATTTTATTTTTGGCCTATCATCATACTTTTAAATGTATTTGTTTCTATGCCAGCTCCATATTATCTCTGTGTTACATGTTAAGTTAAATTTTAATTGTATTTAAAACTTGAAATGGGTGAGATGAGAACCTAAGAGTTGTTCATATTTACTTAACCCTTACTGTGAACTGCAGACTATGTTAGACACTATACAACATTAACCCATGATATATGGAGTGAACCCAAATTTGTGTCCTATGTTATTAGGAACACAATGATTTAAACACACACACACACACACAAGAGGAGAAGGACATTTTTGTTATTGTTTACTTAGCCTTTCCTCTGATAATTAAGCTATATTTATGAGATGTGTGTCCAATTATAGGGGCTGGGATTAGTGAAAGTTTTTAGGGCATCCAAATAAATGAATAATAACAATTTAAAATGATTAAAATAAAAGGATTGAAAAACTCACATAGAATATAACATAAATTACATTCATATAAATTTTACATTGTCCCACAAATACACCTAAATGCTAATGGTAACACTTACTTTACTTTGTGTGTAAAACTCATGGGATCAGGAATTATATTGTCTCTACTCTTCTAAAATTTTCAGCATAGTTATATTACTTTTACTATTGAAAAGTAATTATTTTAAAATAACTTAAAAATCCCACATGGTTAAGTGATTTCCTTGGTTCAGGAAAAATATTTCTATATAACAGTGTGCTTAGCAATTTTTCTAACTGTGTTTATCCATTCAATTTTAGGCCTGTAGCTGCTCTTTTTTTCAAACTGAACTCTTTCTCAGGAATGGCCCCAGTTTAGCTCAAATCAAATCGCCTGAGAAAAGGGTTTACAATACATTATAGTTGGCCAGTTACAAAACTCCTTGGGTTTTTTTCTTGTGGCTTCTATTGTAGTTTACTCCATATGGTAAACCAATCACTCCACACAGCCCACCTTATCAAAGAGACCTACACAATCTTCCTCTGCACAGTCAGGTTTCTCAGATAGGAGATCATGCCTGTTGAGCAATAACCTCTGCAGATATTCCAGAAGGTCACAGAGAACTTCCCCATCTCTTGCTGCAAGAAGCAGCAATAGAAAACCTACCTGTGAACATTGTCAAATTCAATTGTTTTTAATAAACGCACATGTGCTTTCATGAATAACACCTTATTTTTTAAAAAGTGTTAATTGATGGAAACCAATTTAAAATTAAAGTTACAATTATGGGAAAATTCCACTTGCCTAAAAATACATAAACACTCTACTAGGCTATCTGCATTTTCCATGTACAGACAACAGCATGAAGAACTGACAAACCATAGACTCTGGAATTATAAGAAGCTAGATTTGAGAGACAATGGCATCATTTAGCAACTGGTTATCTTACATTAAAGGTGCCTCAAAAACAAGACTCTGGAATCAGTATGAGAAAGAACAGGTAGTTTAGTTGGAAATGATAACAGGACACACCAGAAGGGAGTAGATAAATGGCAAACAAGAGGAAGAAAATAATTCAGGAGCACAGAGAGGCACAGATGAGTATTAAAGGCAACTGGGGCTCTATTCCATTGGAAAATTCAGGGAAGCATTAGAGAATGTGCTTTAGAGCTACCCCTTCAAAAAAGCAAGAAAGTGCATTACACTTATTCCTATCACTAATTGGTGAAGAGAAATAGGGAAGCTAGTGAGAAGGTGCTTAGTGCATGTGAATGCTCCCTGGCATATAGTTTGTGATATGCAGATGCAGGTGTTTTTTTTTTTTTTTTCAACATTCCAGTTCAAGGTGTTGACTCTGGACATTGTTCAGAAAATCTCTCCTTTCCCTTCTCTTAACTGCTCATCTTTGCCTAGTTTCTAACTAAAAATCTTTGAAAACTGATTGAAGAAGGCATATCAAGTGTTTCCTAAGTAGTATATAATATACATAGAGTATGAGTTCAGGACAAGCCAAAGCTGCTCATGAATGGCAAAGATTGCTCAAAGCCAGTTGGTGGGTCAAAGCCAGTCATGGCCAATCAAAATCAATCAGAGCCAGTCAAGGCCGGTCATAACCAGTCTTAACAGCTCTAGACTGGTCGAAGCTGGTCATAACCAGTCAAGACTAGTCAAAGCCAGTCATAACTGGTCTAGATTTCTCAGAAACACTCATAGCCTTTGAAAGCAAGTCATAACTGGTCTAGATCAGTCAAAGATTATCATAACCGGTTGTCAATTAACTGGACCAACCAGAGCCAGACATAATAGGTCAAAGCTGATCATCAACAATCTAGACTGATCAAAGCCACTCATAACTGGTCATTACCAGTCTAAGATGGCCATAGCTATTTATAACTGGTGTAGAGCAGTCAAAACCAATTATATTTATGTGTAGCTGATCTAGACCAGCCAGTCAACCATAACTGAGCAAAACTGGTCATAATCAGTCTAGACTAATCAGTCTCTCATAAATCATTCATGGCCTGTCAAAGCCAATCATGTCCTGTCTAGACCCATCAGAGGTGGTCCCAGCTGGTCATGTTCAATCAAAGCCAGTCATAACTGGTCAAGACTGGTCTAGACTGTTCAAAGCCAGCCAAGATGGATCATAACCTATCATAACCATTCAGATCCCTAAGATATAATAATCCAGAATCTGTTATTTTCTGTCTTATTTTCAATCTATGAATATTAAAATTTGACAAATACTTTGCGCAAATAAAGTTTTATGTGAATTGGAACTGTGTAAGGTCAATAAAATAGAGATTGTTTACTTTAGGCAGGGGTGCAGAGACATAAATCAACACATACATGTTCCCCATTACCCTATACGTAGACACTTGAGGTACATCTGAGAAACTCTGGAACCCTGGAAATTCATTAAAGTAGGCCTAATCAGCTGGGCTAGTCCATGGCTTCCTGAAGGTGAGGCTAGGGGTGGAAGCAGGCATTTGTACTTCTGAATGGCATTCTTCCCAGTACTCAGTGCAGTGCACCTAAATGCCTGACACAACTGTCTGGTGAAGGAGGTCCTATAAATCTCCTTGTGGGCTTTCATAACACAAATCATTCTGGGTTAAAATTGTTCCAGTAGGATTTAGAGGCAAGAAAAAAGCACATTTCCTAACATGACTGTGAAGATGAATTGTTCCAAGAAGAGACATGTGGTCTCAGATACGCAATATCATAGTATACAGCCTCCAAACAAAGTATACGACAAAGACAGACCACCAAAAAACAACCAAAATAGGGGGAAGAGTTATTTTATCTGGAAAGCAGAGAATGTGAGGCTAAATAAATAAATAAATAGTGTGAAATATGGTAAAAGGAGAAGAGGCCATTACTGTATTACAGTAACTATTATCAATGCCAAAGTTGTAAAAAGGAAATAAACCAATATTTCAGATAACACAGCTGCTACTTCTGGATTCAACATTTATAGAGTTCTAGATTATACTCTATAACTCAGAAAAGGCAGTATAACAGATTTTTTGTGCCCTGAAGTTATTGAAAGGGGATTTATATAACAGATAAAATGACACCATAAAGACAGTATAAAGTAGCTCTTCATTTTTTTTTATTCTGAATGACAACAACACCTATATCAGAGTTTTCTCAACAAAAGCCCAATCACTTTTGAGTCCGATATAGGTTCTCAAGATTCAATACTTTATTGTTGTCAGTGGGTTGATACCTTTCAATTTCTCATAGTTTTGTGAAATTTAGTTCTGCGTAATTACATAAAAAACATAAAGTTTTTATTTTTCACATTTTGAAATCTAAAGGTCTGTATTAATTACCAATGGCCAATACACTTCAGCATTACCAATAGTTTTGAAATCTGTTTAAAGTTTCAAATTAACTTGTTTTCCATGGTTTGACATATTTATAATTGATTTGTCTGATTTGCATGCAGAGAAATGATTATTCGGATTATCATGTATTATTAAATTTCTTGTATCAGTTATCCAACCTACTCATTTAATTACTTATTCAATTATTTAAATATTTGTATTCCTAATAAGTATTTATTGAGCCTCAATTACATGTCAGGCACTGCAATACAACGATAACTAAGGTAGGAAAGATACTTACATTAATGGACCTCACATTTAATTGATTCAAGTTTTAGTTTTGGTTGGTTGGTGTTATTACTAATTTTGTTTTATAGGGAGACTAAATTGTGTCTAATTATCTTGACATCCTTGCAAGGTGGCATTATCATTTCTATTTTACTGGCTTGGAAACCGTAGGCTCAGATAGGTTCAAAGATGTGTATACGGTAAAACTGCCAACTTAGTGACTAAGAAATACATGGAACCAAAGTCTTTTTGATGGCTGAAAAAACTGTACTATCATATCACACTAATCTTAGAATTTTCCAAGGGTGAAAAATGATGACTAAAAGTCTCACAGACTGCAGTAGGTAATTATAGCTTAGCTTGGGAACAGAAATACTTGTAGCTCACTATTGTAGTTTAAAGCTATGACATGGTATTAATAAAGTCACCACACCACTTTTTACTTAATAAATGATAACTTTACAAAGTAAAAACTGACTCTTTTGTGGACACCTCTGAGATTTGTTTTGTCTTTTCCTTCATTCACATGTGAATGTGGTGTAACTTTACCACCCCATATTACATTCGATTTTATTGGTCTAGAATCGAGCTCCTGGCCACAGGCCTTTAAAAAAAATTGTTTTAACATGAGAGTCGAGAAAGCTTTGCAGGAATTGTCCTCTCATAGTTGAAAGTATTCAACAGAAAACTTAAAAAATTGTCAATCATCATATTTCCCAGCACGTGAAGCAGTATCTGCAGAGAAAAAATAATGTGACTTTAAGAGACAAATGTGACTTTAAGAGACAGAAATTAATTTAGTGCCATTCAAGACCTTTATTCCAGTTGTTTTAGGTGTCCAAACTTTTAGATGAAATTTTATTGGATTTTGTAAAACCTTTATGTAGCTTGTTTTTGATACATTTAATGTAACTTAGCTTTACTTTCACTTGAATCTAAGGCAATTCTCACTAATAATGAGGCTGCGTATTAACACACCCAAGTATTATTCTCAGACCTGTCACTTCCTATTTGAGTGAGATTATCCAAGTGATGTCATACCCTCAGTATCTCTTCTCCAATCTGCAAAATCCTTTGCTATGGCTATTACATAGTGACATGAGAATTCAACTGGATATTGGACATAAAAGCACTTGATAACCATCCATCATTTGCTTATGCACATGTAGATAATAAGAAATTAAGCAGTCAAGTATGTGAACACCTTGAATGGCCTCCTATGGTATCATTCATGAGGCCCTTTCAAAGTGTGCATTTCTTTGCTTCTTCAGTCTATTCTCCTCCCAACCTGTACTTCAGTCAATGACTTTTTCATAATTCCCTAAATACCTCCTTTTGCCTTTGCACACACTTTTTCCACTTCCTGAAATGTCACTACCCCTCAATCCCATGCTGATTTCAAGATAAAATTGGTGGCCTCTCTGTAAAGACTTGTGTGACTTCCTTCCTAAAAGCAAGAAGAGATAGTACCTTTCCCACACTCTTTGGAAATTACTGTTTTCTAGAACACTTTTGTAGAACACAATGCTAATCAATAGTTTACTTGCAATTTTTGTGCCCTTGGTTAGAATCTTTGGAGGTAGACACCATCTCTTCTTAATCTTTAATTATAAACATACACACACACACACACACACGCACACAAAGCGAAAGAGGCATTAAATGCAGATTCAAAGTGGATTATTTTTTTCTTGAATCTTCCTTTTTTTCTTCTCCTGGAACACTCCCTCTAATGTTGTGATACTTCTATATTTGTTTTAATTTCCTGGAACATTTTCTTCAGCAAGCGCATTAATATCTCAGGAGAATCTATAGCTTTGTTTAACTTTAAAAGAACTACATTCCTGCTGTCAACTGAATCGTAATGGGACACTAAAGGACACACATGCCTCTATTTATCTTTAGGAGACAACTGCTTTCATTTAACTTTGTTATATTTTAGGAATCTCAATTCAGTTTGGTTTATGCACCGTGTGAGATCAAAAGGGATTTGTTCCACATTTTTCTCCATAAATGATTATTACTTCTCAGTGAGTAAATAAACTAATCATCCTCTGAAATAAGTGTGACCACACCCTAATACTGCTCACTTTTCCAATAGAAATGCTTTAATATATCCAGAATCCATGCTAGATAATTTGTGAAGCAGGGAGATACTGGTATGTAATTACTTCCATAATTTATTGTATTTCATCCTCACACTAATACTATGAGAATTATATTAGCATCTCATCTAACAGATCAATAATTAGAGCCTTTGTCATGATTGAAATCACATGGCTTTTTTCCTTCAAGAAAAAAATGAGTGCAGGGTTGGAACATTGACATTCATTTTCAACAATTCAAAACAAGAAAAATCCTTTCCCTATTCATTAATTTTTGTAGAATCTTATTATCCTCATGTGTCCCTTTCCGACTTGTTAGCTTCTACCTGTCTCATGGGTCTAGCATAACTTCCTTGGCCATTGGTCTAGGTGTGGTACTCTTTGATTCAGCTCCCATGTCCACTTATCTTCAAAAAAATAAAACAAAAGTTATGCTGTAAATCTTTTATATGATGGCCTGATTCTAGTCTTTTGAGCTACTACAAACTAGGAATGAATCCTTATATACTTTGTATTCTTATTACTTGGTACAATACATAACATATTGATTGCATTCAATAAATATTTTTCAATGAATGAAATAATGTATCTTTAATTTCCAAGTTATATTCTCAGCCTTGCAATACTTAATCCTACTGCCTTACCTGATCCTGTTACAAGGTGTGACCAGAAACATCTCCAGATAAAAAATGTTTGATTACCTATTTGCTTTACCTAATATCTAGTACCCAGTATCTAGTACCTCATTTCTAGTATCTAGTCCTACAGAGTGGCCCCTACTCTTTAATTTAAAGCCTGGGCCAAAACCAGGCCCGTTTGAACACTCATGAACTTTTTTTTCCCATTAAATCTATCCCAAGTTATTAGCTTTCCTGGGCAGAGCTTATCTAAAGAAAATAGAAAAAAAATCTAACTTCGTATTTGTTGAGTTGTATGAAAAAAAAACCAAGACATTACTGTCTTTTCCCTTGTATTTAAAATTCCAATGAGTGCATCTCATCACATTGTGTAACCAAAAACAAAATGGAGAAACATCAAAAAGCACATTCCTTTTTGGGACCAGCATGGGGATGGTTAAGATACAGGGTTTATATAAAAATTACTAGGATCGTTTAAACCTCTGCTATGTGGCAGGTGTTCTATGCCTTACCATAGAGAATTCTTATAATAGACACATGAGGTAGACAGTATTCTCCCATGTTAAATATAAAACCAAAATGGGAATCACTGAAGATAAGTACGTACTACAAAAGACAAAAAATAACTCTAGAATTCAATCTCTGTTCTTTGTCCCCAAAGCTCAAATCTAGTCACTTTGACTAGATTATATCCACATGGCAACTGCCAGGATAGTTGAATAAAACTGACCAGTGTGATTATTCAAATTACAGGTTCCTGGGTTCCAGCTTACTGAATCAATGCCTGAGAGACCTCAGGAATCTATATTTCTAAGAATTCTTTTCTTGTTGATTTTATTATGTATGCAGGTTTGGTGAATTGAACTGTATTACTAATGTTCTCTAAAATAAAATTACCTTTAGGTTGTCCAAGTCAATGTAATTAATTTAAATTTGTTCAACAGACATGGAGAGCAAATATGTGCCATGAATTTGTTCAAGACTTAACAACAAAGTGACTAAAACACAAAAACCTCTCAAGTTTTCTGTTTCTACTACTGCTCCCAAGTTTGACCTCTCACAGTGTTCTTTTTCACGTCACTGGCAATTATGCAGTCTTCTTTTTCTTTTCTTAAATCCTCTAGAGTCAACCCGACATAGATAGTAACTATAAAGAACATACGTTTTTTCCAACTTTCTTGAGGTATAATTGACAATTACAAGTTGTACATAGTTAAGATGTATAAATTCACACATCTATAGTCAACTGATTTTTGACAAGGGTGCTAAAAACACACAACGAAGAGAGGATGGTCACCACAATAAATGGTGATAGAAAAACTAGATATCCACATGCAGAAGAGTAAAATTGGACGTTGTATCACATGTTTAAAAAATCAACTTAAAGACTTAAATGTGAGACCTGAAATCATAAGTTTACTAGAAAAAAGAAAAACAGAAAAAAACCTTCTTGAAATTAGTCTGGAAAAGGATCTTTGGATAGGACATCAAAAATATAGGAACATACGTTCTTGAGTCAAATGAGCTCAGCCACAATTGTCTTCTGTTTTGTCCCAGTGTTTTGAGATTGAGAAGTAGCTTCACCACTTATATCCTCAGTTTTTTCTTCTATAAAATGGGAATAGTAATACCTAATTATCAAAGATCTATCTGGATTCATAATGACATACACCAAATACCTAGCAGATTGCCTCATAAAGCAAGTGTTTCTCAAAGAATAAATATTCCTACTAATGGGGTCTTCTGTTCTTTTGAGGTAAAGATGCTGCCTAAAGGAGTATGCATGCATTGATCATAATACTTCCAATATGAATTCAAAGATTTGTCTCATTTGGGGAAGAGAGGATTGTAGGCTGTACTGCAGCTCTGCAGACCAATCCTAGGATCCTTGCTTTTGAGGATACAGAGTGGCTTTGTCAGTGTCATCACTGAAGAGAAAAGAAAATGAACATGCTAGAAATATAAGAACTATCAAAAACAACACATTCTGGAAAATTTCTATAGCAAGACAGGGCAAAGTATTCTATTTAGTCCTGTACATTAATTATTATGAAAATATCTGAATATAACCCATTAATTAATACCACTGAGACCTAAAACTCTGGGAAGTAGTATTTTTCTTGTCTGATTTTAACTCAGTCTTCTATAATCCTTATATGAAATTGGATGAATTACAGCAGCTGAAAAGATAAAGTGGCTGTAAGTTTCTGTAAGGAAAGCTGATGACAAAAATTGCCCTGGACGAAAATACCAGTTATAATTACCAACCAAGTGATAAGGAGGAGGAAGTGCTATTCATCTCTAATTCCAACTGTTAATTACCTAAAAATATATATATTTCTTACTTATATTTTTGGCATATTATGATTTAATGAAAACACGGCCTGTCATAAGTTTAAGAAAAGCACATTCAATTTTTGGGGTATTTTAAATAGTGTAATACTCCTGATGGCTGAGTAGCAGGAGACATACAAGAATAATAGAGGAACAGACAATATTTAGTGTTGTAAAAATACTAATATCCCAAATTAGGTGCCAGATGACAGAATGCTATACTTACTTCTAACTTATTTTACAATTTACATGATAAAATCTGAGCTGCCTCTTGGCAGGGTGAGAAAAGCATTCTGAATGGTTGGGCAGAGCAATTAGAGGTGTGTGGAAGTAATGTCTATAATCATCAGGTAGAAAATAAACTCCGTGCAGGATCGGTCACAAAGGATATACGTAGGTAAAAAATATTTACACAGTGTTATCTCTACTAAAAAATACAAAAAATTAGCCGGGCGTGGTAGTGGGCTCCTGTAGTCCCAGCTACTCAGGAAGCTGAGGCAGGACAATGGCGTGAACCCAGGAGCCGGAGCAGTGAGCCGAGATCGGGCCACTGCATTCCAACCTGGGCGACAGAGTGAGACTCCATCTCAAAAAAAAAAAATTATATATATATATATATATATATATATATATATATGTGTGTGTGTGTGTGTGTGTATTTATTTACACAGTGTTAAAACATCTATTACAGCACCCATCCGTTGTTATGTATATAATATTGGGAGAGATGGCTTTCATCTCTAAGTCTCATTTCCTTGTCTGTGAAATGGAGTAATATAAATATGATAATAAATTTCAAATAATATTCCACAGTATATTATTAATTATAGAGTATATATTGTATATACTTATTTTATACATAAATCACTGAGTATTCTCAAATTATCTTCATCTGTAGAAGAGGATACAAAAACAGAGATTAAGGGGCTTGTTCAACCTCATGTAGCCCTCAGTGGTAAAATCTGAATGTGAACCCAGAAGACAGACACTGATTCCTGCCTTCTTTACTATTACTTAATAGAGTCTCATATACAGTGAATATAAGTAAGAGCAACTGGCAATTGTAACTACAGTGATTATTACCTAGGAAAGAGGATGAATGTTGTTGCTGAAGTTGGTAACCGTCTATCATACAAATACAGATTTCACTAAGACATAAAACCCATACATACACACGCACACACTCACATATGTATGTATGTGTAATATACACGTATACTTCTTTCAGTTAGAAGAGGCATTTGAGTTGAACCCTGAATAATATGCACATTTTCCAAATGAAAAAAAAAAGTGTGGTTGTTGGAGGAGAAAAGGAGGTGGGAAAGACGGTTTCCAATCAGTGGGAACGTTTGTCAGAAAAAGGTACAGAGTCAGGAAAAGACAGATGAAACTAAAAGAAGGTTGTAAAACATAGTCTGGCAGAACCTGAAACATTATTATGTTAGGAAGTGCAAGAGATTATACTTTGCCAGTATTTGACACCAGACACGGAAGTACCAATCAAAACCACTGGAGTTTTATCATTCTATAATTCAATGACCAACCAAACTTTTAAGTAGTAAAATCATGATGTGATTTAAAACGAAATTTTAATAAAATAATGAAGTAAAAATATAAGTAAATTTTTTTTTAGAATTACATGCTATTCATACTACTGAATGTCAACTGGAGGGAAAAGAATCCTTTAGCAAGGGGAATCAGCTGTTGATTTGATTTCTTCCATTTGTCTCTTATCAAATCATACAGCTTCATTTTCTATCAGTGACTATCTCTATTGCTCTTAAGTTTCCTCAATGACAGCACTTCTTCTAGATTTTCCCAGCTTTTTACAGTTTAGAAAAAAACTTCAGAATACTGAGTTCTGTGCTCATGGTAACTGTTGAAAGTGATCTTATTTTGACCTAATGTGTGGGCAGCTATAAAAAGACAGTTTTAAATCTAGCATAGGAAGATGTTCTAATGGAATGAGTTGTACAGTATTGGGGCTTGGTATTTCTGGAGTCAGCCACTCCCTGTGAGCATAGGCGAGGTCAGATGGGAGCACTTAGATTTCAAACTCCAGTGTACATTAAGCATCACTTTGGGAAACCGTCTTAAAATTTTTCTGATTCCTTTATCCAGTTCCAGAAATTTAGTAAGTGTTCATGGATCCCATAAATATTTAAATTGAATAGGGCTCTTAGGTGCTTCTGATGCAGATCAGCTTTTACCCTATTTTTAAGAAACAACATCTTTGTTATTCTCTTTATTCTTTTAACACTTAAACTCAGTCACCAACATGAGCCCTTTGGATCCTGGGCCACATACTCAGAACCAAATGCCACTAGGTGGGGGAACTGTGTAGTGTGATGGGGGTGATGGTGGTGGTATCTAATTTGAACTATACTGTGCTTTCTTCTTTGCCTAGAATTATTTTAAGCTTTAGTCTAATAAGTGTGACCCAGGGCCAGATTATGAAATTTTAAAGGGGCTCTTTCTCCCCAAAACAAGAATTCCTTAAAAATAATTACTTATGTTAACATGACTTTGAGAGCATGAAAAGTTGATTAGACTTTTAGGAAGTTGATCTTTGCTTTACACTCAGAAGGTATGAAAGATGACAGAGATCTCTGTGGTGCAGCTGAGTGTTGACCAAAAAAAAAAAAAAGCCCCACTCTTGTGCCAAGTTCCCATCCTGCCTCTAAGAGGTTTGTGGAATTGATAATATTCTGCAGTATTGTTCCTTTCAAATTAACGGAAAAGATTATGACAAAGATTATAGGCACTCCGACGGGGATGTGGGCTGGGCAAGCATTTTGGAAATAATAGCAGGACAATGATAAACATTGCTGGTGAAGTGGACAAGAGTTTATTTAAAGTGATTAAAACCAGTCAACCTTAGAATCACTATATACCTACCTTTGCCTATTGACTCTTACTCTTCATTTGCCGTTGAAAGTGCGCCATTACTTGCCAGTGTAGTATGGTTCTTTTAGTCTTCGAACCCAGTCTTGTTAACAATCATACCTAGAAAGCCTTCTCTGCACTCAGCCAGAGTAATACAGTAGAAATTACGTGTTATTTTCTAGCAAGTAGAACCGTGTTTGGATTTCAACTGAATCACAGTGACGTATAATATGGAACATGACCTTGTGAGAATTACCTAAATCCTCTAAAATTCAGATTCTTTGTCTGTAAAATAGAAGTAATACAACTATTCTTGTAATATAAGCTTATTTTGTTGAATATCATCCAATATTTGTGAACCTGATTTTTTTTCTTTTCTTTTCTTTTCTTTTTTTTTTTTTTGAGATGGGATCCTGTTCTTTTGCCTAGGCTGGAGTGCAGTCGTGCAGTTATAGCTCACTGTAATCTCAAAGTCCTGGGCCCAGACGATTCTCCCACTTCAACTTTCCAAGTTGCTGGGACTACAGGCATGCACTACCATGCCCAGCTAATTTTTCTTTTTTCTTTTCTTGTAGAGTTAGGATCTTGCTATGTTGACCAGGCTGTGGAAACCAGTTTTTTAAAATATATCTTCCATAAGTACGACCATACAAGAAGTTATATAAACAATACATACTATTTCTCCTCCAATGCTTAATTGATACCTAACATTCACTCTTTAGTCAATTTAATAAACATTTATTGAGTACTTTTTATATTTTAGGCATACTACTAGGTACTGAGATTCACTTTCAAAGAAACACGTAAGATCTTTCCTCTCTTGGAAACATACTTTAGTAGAAGACAGTGACAACAAATGGGAAAACACTTGAGTAAGATGTCAGTGGAATCTATTATTGTTACCTGTTGATTAACTGGTTTCTGAGAGTAATGCCAGCAAGATGGTGGTGGAATAGGACTTTCCAGAACTTGTCCCTTCACAGACACATCAGTTTGAAAAACTGTTCATGCACATAAATACATTCCCAAGAGCAAAGGAATCTGTATGAGACATTACAGCAGCTGGGTATAATGCAGAACTAAGAGAAGACATAATAGAGAAAGTACAAAGGAGTGTTGTAAATTACCCACATCACCCCTTCTCAAACGTGGGTAGCACAACCTAGAGAAAAATATCCTCTGTTTGGGGGAAAGAGAAGAAAATGAGCATTCAAATTTGCTGCGAATTCCAGCATCAGGCCTGCCCCAGTGACACTTGATTCCATTTCAGTGCCCATGGCCCCAAGCTACAGTTTGGTACCCACAGACTCAGGCTCCAGGCTGGCTACAATTCCAGGTCAGCCCCTGTAACCCAAGACTCTATGCTGGCACCCATAAATCCAGCCTCCAGGCAAACCTCACATCCAGGCCGGCCCCAGTGGCTCCAGGCCTCTAGCAGGCCCCCACAGACTCAGGACCCAGGACCTTCCAGGGCTCTAGACCAGCCCCAGTGCCAGGTTAGCCCCAGCAACCCCAGGCTTCAAGTCTGCCCCAGTGCCAGGACAGCTCCGTTCAGTACTAAGCTCTAGACCTGAGTTCCAAATTCACAAATCTCCAGGCTGGCCCTAGTGGCCCCAACTGCCCTTGGGTGCAGGATGGTCACCCACCTCAGGCTCCAGGCTGGCCCTCAGGGATCCAGCCTCTAAGCTGGTAACACTGTCAGACCAGCTTTAGTAACCCTAGGCTCCAGGCCTTCCCTAAGCCCAGATAATTCCCCACCTTCCAGCATATCTGGGATCCAGATAAGTTCCAGTAGAGATACTGGCATTAGCCTGGCCCCAGTGGACCCAGTCTCCAGGCCAGTCACTGTGGGCCCTGAACAAAGACCCACACCCGTGGATCCAGCCTCTTGACCCGAAAACGGAGACTTCTACCCATGAATCCAGTCACTGTGGCTCCAGAGCACAGACCTATACCCATGGATCCAGACTGGCCCTGTGGCTCCACGGTCCAAGCCAGAGTGAGGATCTAGTATCTAGTCCAGAACCCACTGATCCAGCCTTCAGACCAGTTTCCAAAGACAAAGCCTTCAGTAGAACCAGGATCCAAAGCCACTCTAGTTGCCAGGTAAGTCCCTGCAGCCCCAAGCTCCAGGCCAGCCCTTGTGGGCCCAGGCCCTGTACCAGCTCCTGTGGACTCATGCTTCAGTTCCACCCTGTGGACCCAGTCAACAGGCTGACCCAAGTAGATCCCAGTGCCAGGCCAGCCCCCATTGGACCCAAACACAAGGCTAGCCCCTGTGGACACAGGTGCCAAGCCTGCCCACCTGCACCCACCAGGCACCAGATCAGCCAGCCTGAAGACTCTATCAGTAAGCCTACAGGCAATCTCTTCCTGATGGTCCATCTATAATCCCTAGATAGGCTGAATGATGATGGGCTTTTCCTGCCAAAGCCAGTGTGTAAAGACTGATATAGATGCCTACTTCTTCAAATATATAGATGCAAATGCATATTCAGAAGGATCATGAATAACCAGAAAACAGAACATCACCAAAGGAACAAAATAAAGCACCAGTAATCAATCCTAAAGAAATGAAGCTATGGACGGCCTGACAAAGAAATTAAAATAACCATTTTAAAGAAACTCAGTAAGCTACAAGAGAATACAGATAGACAACAAAACAATATCAGAAAATAATACACGAACAAAAATTAGAAGTTTAACTAAGAGATGCCATAAAAAGAAACAGATAGAAATTCTGCAGCTGAAGAACATGATTATTACACTAAAGATTTCCATTGAGAGCTTCAATAGCAGACTCAAATAAGTAGAAGAAACAATCAGTGGACTCAAAGATCATTTAAAATGATCCAGTCAGTGAAAAAAAATAATGAAAAAAGTGAAGAAAGCCTAGAGGACTTATGGGAAACTGTCAAGCAAACCAAGATATGCATTATAGAAATATCAGAAATAGCAGAGAAAGAAAAGAAAGAAATTTTTTAAAGAAAAGATTATTTTAAAAAATGAAAGAAACTGTTTGCAAATCCAGAGAGGAAAATGAACATCCAAATCTAGAAAGCACAAAGAACTCCAAAGATACTTAATTTAAAATAAAAATAAAAGATTATCTGGTTTTGAAATTTTAAAAAATTTAGGCCAGGCACAGTGGCTCATGCCTGTAATTCCAACACTTTGGGAGGCCGAGGCAGGCGAATCACAAGGTCAGGAGATTGAGACCATCCTAGCCAGCATGGTGAAACCCAGTTTTTATTAAAAATACAAAAATTAGCCTGGTGTGGTGGCATGTGCCTGTAATCCCAACTACTTGGGAGGCTGAGGCAGAAGAATCACTTGAACCCAGGAGGTGGAGATTGCAGTGAGCCAAGATCACGCCACTGCACTCCAGCCTGAACAACAGAGCAAGACTCTGTCTTAAAAACAAAAACAAAAACAAAAAAAACAGAAAAGGCCAGGCATGGTGGCTCATGGCTGTAATCCCAGCACTTTGGAGGCCAAGGTGGGTGGATCACGAGGTCAGGAGTTTGAGACCAGCCTGGCCAACACGGTAAAACCCCGTCTCTACTAAAAATACAAAAAAAGTTAGCCAGGCGTCGTGGTGCACGCCTGTAATCCCAGCTACTTGGGAGGCTGAGGCAAGAGAATCACTTGAACCTGGGAGGTGGAGGTTGCAGTGAGCCGAGATTGCATTACTGTACTCCAGCCTGGGCGACAGAGAGAGACTCTGTCTCAAAAAAAAAAAAAAAAAAAATTTAGAGGACTGTGTTGACATAAACCTACAATTTTAGTTGTATGCTTCTGATCCTCTCATCCACACCTATTCACTTCACAAACAAAATCCCAGTATGGACTCTGGTCTTGTTATTTAATGGCTTTAAAGTTTCCACTTGATCTTATGTAAGCAACAGACCACTTCTTTGGAATAGCTGGATAGCTATAGAGAAAGGAGATACCATACCAAATAATGAGTTGGGAGACAATCATATTCTTGTTGTAACAGATAGCTGCTGTGCAGTTCCAAAGAACTTAAAAGCACGTGCACACACATATATTTGTATATGTATATTCATATTCACAATTATGTTTCTATGATTACACACCAAAGCATTGTTTAATCAAGCATTATCTTCAAAAATGAACTTTAAGAATGAAGCACAGAGAAGAGGCTGTAACAACTACTTCTGAAACTGCAGCCTCTCTTCTAGCCACACTTAGCTCAATATATATAACGCTCTCATGTCGATTATCTCCTGTTTGCCTTTCATGTCTAATTTTTTTCCTTCTCTATACTACTCTGTAACAAAGATTTGACCTGTATAAAGTCCATCAATGAGCTTTCATGCTTCTGTGTTAAGGCCGTGTTAGGACAATAGGAAGCCCTGGCAGGAGATTAGGAGGAGAAAGGAAATTGAAGTTGGTATATTTGGGTCCGTAATTTCCTTCTTGCTTTTCATTATGGGCTTGCTGTGCTCTCCACCAAAGGCTATTTTTTTTTCAAAGTGCATTTTTTTTAACACAACACTATATTTAAATTACCATTTGCTACCCTATTCTAGCACAGGACCAGAAATAGTAACAGCTCTTCTAGCACTAGCCCGATGTTTCTGCATCATTCACAATGCAATGCAATACTAAATTACCCTACTATTCACACTTCAAAACATTGTCCCTGTTTAAGTAAACTTTCCTCAGAGTATCCTAATGTGAGTATATCTTGGATCCATTAACTGAGGCAGAGTGTGTGTAACAGAAGTGTGTTGAAATTAGAAATTTAGGATTTGAATCATGGCTACACTTTCTGTATGTGTGAACTAAGGCAAAATACCTGGGTTCTCTGAATTTTAAATCTCTTACACAAAACAAGGATATTAATGTTTCAACTGCAGCATTAAAATATGAGCCAAAGTTATTGTATGTGCAAATAACCTACATGGGGCCTGAAAACCAGTCAACATACATAGTAGTGTTAGCATGTATAGCAATATTAGTAGTCCTTATATGGCATATATCCCTGATTTCACACATTTTATAATATTGAACCAGTAGCTATTCTCAATTTACATTTTACCCTTATAATTCTAATGTGGGGCATGTTGACAATTCTATGAATAAGGGGGTATGTAAACATCTAACACCATACAGCAACTGATTATGAAGATCTACTATTGGAAACATTTTTACAGCTTTTTTTGAAAATGTAAATTAATTAACACTTCAAACATATTTAAATGCCTGATACTTGAGCTGAAAAAGAAATACTAAAGTCTTCAGTTGGAGACTGACTAATTGCCCGGGGAAGACAACTGTCACAGGTAGGGAAGCATCTGTCTATCTTGTAAAATATTAAAAAGCCAAGACTTCCTGTTAAAATGTAATTGGTTTCAATGTTGCAAGTCTTTAAACTTTGTTAATATAAAATGTTGAAGTTTTTTCGTACAGATAATGTATTTATAAATCAGACTAACACAATTATTCGGGTATGGCAATTCTGTGGCCCAGTTTACCACCACGAGCAGTTTCTAATTATATCAAAAGGAAGGAGCCCAGTAGAGGAATTTGTTCAACTCCCAAAGAAATTCAGACCAATGTTCTCATTCTTCTCTAAATAGTAGATACATATATAATAAGATTTTATTTTTTCTAAATTTAGGTGATTTTAGGTCTGTTTTGTGTCATGAAATTGTGGTTATAAATTGTTGCAAAATTATTTAGAGTGCAACTATTGATAAAAATAATACTTCTTGAGTGCCTCCTCTGTATCTGGAGCTAGGATATGCTGCTTTACATGAATGACCTAACTGAATACTTGAAACAACTGTTTAAGAGAGGCATTAATTCTAAATAAGGATTCTAACTCTGGCATTAATTCTAAATGAGGATTCTAACTCAGGCAATCTTATACTAGACCAGTGGTCTTAACCATAAAGCTATAAAGATATACCTACTTTTGTTAATTATATTCCCATCTTGTGCCAAGATAAGATAGTTACCTTTCTATTTTCAAATGAATTGTGTGACCTTGTTTCATTTTGTTCTTGACACTTAGCTTCCAGAAATATCAACTATCTTTATTTTTCAACATCCAATGAAATACTTCCTCAATCTAATGCCATTCATTATTAAGGCTCCCTATCACTTTGGTTGTATTTTGTGATGTTCCTAATGCTTGCCTGGTTCTGGCTAAATGAAGATGATTATGGCGTTTAGTCCTGATGGCTTTTGTGATGACCTTCTATCTTTCTGCATAAAATGCACCCATTCAATACTGATTTTTGGACAACTATCTGCCTACCACTCCTTCAACATTTGAGCTGTGTTATATACACCTCCCAGAATCCTTTTGGCTAACATGGTCAGCCTCACAGAGTATTAGTCATTGCTTCCATGGCCACCATCCACAATGCCTAACACCTCAGTCTTCCATGCAATTACCCACTCTTCCCATCTTTGTCAGTGCTTGTTATCCTGTCCAGGACCCCCGTCATTCATGGAAATGTCACAAGCCCAACCCATTCCCTTTCTCTGGAACATGATCTCTTATCCAGGTTGAGCAACTCTCACTTTAAATGAAAAGTTAGAGTTAATCAATGTATTTTCAGTGGAGAAACATTCAGTTAAATTATTTTCTGAGCTAGCCTTGAATTATAAAGCCCTTAGGGTATCCTCTTTAAGCTGATTCCTGAAATGCAAAAAAGTTGCTATCTCCCCAAGGGTAGGGTGATCTGTATAATAAGGAGAGCTCAGATCTCAAATCACAGAAGTAGTAGAGGAAAAATAAAAGGGGAGAGTGGCGAAGAAAGTAGGGTAGGATTGATGTGGAGTTTTAACACTAATTCTTTAAATAATGTATGGCTTTGAGAGGATGATTTATTCCTTCCCCTAACAATTGATTCACTCTCCTGAGTGAAAAAGGCATGACTTTGTAGCTGACTTTAATCAAGTCTTGATATAACTGAGGGATTTTACATCAGAGACATGCAAACAACTTACATTTGAATATTAGGGATCTAATTCAAAAAACTCAATTACTTATTCCACTGTACTGCTTAAGTCTTCTCTTTCTCTGTCTTTCTATCAATAATTTGTATCAAATCTAATGTTCTCCTTTTGCTTTGTAGTAAAAATTACCTTCAGGCTCCCTATTCATCTCTGTTTACCTTTGGATACACAGACATTGATTATTGTGCTTTATTAAAAAGCAGAAACTATTCTAGGTCTACCAAATGGAGACACAAATCTAGGTACAGAACAGCTAGAAACAGCTTGATAATCGCATACTTCTTCCTCTTTTATTTGCTGGTGTCTCGTAATAAGAACAAAAATTTCATCATTATAATGAATTATTTATGCTTTATAATATAGAAATAAGAAATTTTGAATTTCAGTTTCTTTTCCAACTACCCTCAACACCATTTTGATATAACTACAAGTTAGATATTGTTATCCAAATATCACTAACATGAAACAGAGATTGATTTGCTCAAATCTCACATCTAATAAAGTTCAGAAGTTGGGTTTGAAACCCAGACAGTTCCATTTCTATCTATTTTTACTATATGACATGTTTCCAGTCCACAAAAGTAATCAAATATTCAACATGAACGATGCAGAAAAAAGTAATTTTCAGAAGTATCTTAAAACTGGTAAAGATTGGTGTTAGTTTCTAGCGTGTCATGCAGAATGAAGTTGGAAATGGTCAGAGGTAATTTGTGCACAGATATTACTCTTTCCCTAACTGCATTAGAGTTTCTGAATCATGACCAGAAAATATTTTAAAAGTTCTTGAACTTTGGAATGATACTAGTGTTCAAATTATGTCTCAAATTGTATGAAGTTTATAATTTTGAACAAATAACTTCTTAGAGTTCCAGTTTCTCCCTCTAATAGATACAGATAACACCTGTCCTACAGTACTTTTAAATTTAATTTATTTTTTTAGCTGAAACCTATTCATTCTGCCATGAGGAAACCACACTAGTTTTTCAACAACCTTCTTCATATCCCCCACCTCTCCTCTAAACATCCCCCCTTTTTTTTGACTCTTGCCTTTAGTCCCCTCCCACATCCCTCATACTACTGGGCAAAGAGATGAGGGAGTCTTCTCAGTACCCTTTACAACTGCTTCCTAGAAATTACCCTGCTTTCTCTCTCAAAGCCCCCAAAATTAAATGCTATATTATTATGCCAAGATGCACTCTAACGCTTTTATGGTAGTCGAGTTCAGATTATGAGACCTTCCTCTTTATTGCTTAATGGCATTAATGACTTACTTTCTCTCTCTCAAACACAGCTGCTTTCAAAACTCTTAATGATTGTAACATCTAGGTAGATAATCCCTTCGAGACCCTAGCCTCTCAGTTTCTCTAATTCTCTTCCATTAATCTTGTCTTCTGCCTTACTTCAGTCCCTACACTCCTAGCTCATGTTTGATATTATTAAAAGATGCATCCTCTCCTTAACAGAAACGTTAAGCAGTTCAACCTGCTATCATTCTAGTTCACTTTTAAAATATGCCAACCTTAAATATTCTTCAAACCACCTAGACTTTTAATACTTTGGCACTATTACCCTTTAGTTATCTCTCATTACCCCTCATATTCTCTCTTCACTTCTTTCCAACCTTAGATTCCATGGCCAAACATTATATTTATACCATCAATTCCTTTAGTTCTTTCTCCCCTTTTACTACTCCTCTGCCAAGCTCCAATATTGGGTAACATCATCTTTATTCTTGCAGCTTAATAAAAATATAGGGAGTGAGGAGGCACACAAAACTACTGAGTGGTCTCACTTTAAAATTTACCATGCTAACGATAAGCTGGACCTCAATTTCACCAGACAATCCTATTCTATTTTCTAGTTCATTTTTTTCTTCTATTTCCTACTAAACACCCGTTATGCCTTTGTTGAACTTGAGTATGTCCTACCTCATCTTACTCTAAGCTGATGCTCTTGTCTTCTAGTTCACTAAGAAAAGAGGAAGCAGTCAGAAAATGATGTCTATAAGCTTCAATTACTATATCTCTCTAAACACTGTGTCTATACCACTGTACTCAATCTTCCCTGCTATCACTTTGGATGAATCATCTGGACTCTTAGCTAATGCCATTTTCTCTGCCTTTGTACTGCTCTCCATACCCTGCAGCCTACCCAACGCATCTCTTCAGGAATGTCCCATCTCTCTACCGTGTTATAAAATTTTCCCTACAAAGCATTATAGCTGTCAGCATAGAAACATGGTGTTATTTCTTGCATCTAAATCCATATTAAATACGTCACCCACCAACTATCACCCTATCCCTATATTCTACTTTATAGCAACAATATGCTCTTGAACTCACTTCATTAAAACTCTTGTATTCACCTTCATCTCGATCCATCAACATTGTTTTTGGCAGTCTCCAACAGTCTCAGGATGGCCTAACACAATGATCAACTCTTAATCCTCATTTTATTTGACCTATCAGGTTTATTTGACATAGTTCATCAGATCTTCTTCAATTATCCTCTAGGACATGGTCTGTCTCAGTTCTCCTCTTCCCTCACTGGCTTCTCCCTCCACCATCTCCTCTGCTGTTTCTTTCATCTAATCAGAGTGGAAATAACAGCTTTTCTTCTCTCCTTACACACACTCCACAGCGCCTAGGGTCTGGGTGATCTCATCTACTATGTTAGCTTTAAATACTATCTGCATTGAGTATCTGTCTAGTTCCCTGTTTGAATGTGGACCCTGATCATAAAACAAATATATACAACTGCTTACCCCTGTGGAAAGCTGGATATCTGACTTCTCATCCTCTCAAATCCCATTCCTTCCCAGATCTATTTCAGTAAATAATAATTTCACTCTGTCAATTTCTTTGCCATAAATGGTGACCACATTTTCTCATAATACTCTGTCTTCTAAATGTTTTTCTGTTCTCCTGTTTTTGCTCAGTATTACCCAGTCTATTTTTACCGTAAAGCAAGAATTATCTTTTAGAAACATAAATCAGTTAATTTCTCTGCACAAAGCCTTCCAGTGGCTTCCTGTCTTACTTAGGTTAGATGATTGGTTATGATTGCCTGCAAGAGTCTAATCTCCCCCTACACTTTGACCTTATTTTCCAGAACTCTTTTCTTTTTTCATTTACTCTAGTCACACTGTATTCCTTGCTATTTTCCAAAAACAGAAGCATTTAAACCTAGGGGGTATTCTCTAGATTTATTTGTTTATTCGAATATAATCTATGTCCCTGTTTGTAACTAGACTATAAGCTTTACAAGGGGTAAGGTAAAAGCTGCTACGTTCTCTGCTGCATCTCTAGAACCTTAGAAAAATGTCTACTTCATTGGTCCAATGAGGAAAAGTGTGAATAAATTATTCAATTCTAAAATTAAACATAGTATAATATACACGTAATTTTTCAGTAAACCTCATTTTTTTTTTTTTTTGCTTCCAAGGAAAGGTATCCAGCTACCTTCTGGACATAGAAAAATTGGGAATGTTAGCTTAAATAATTCTTCAGAAAAGTTATATTCACTTTCTGTAGTTCATATTAACAGTATTTCTCTCTCTGTATATATATATATATGTATATATACATATATTTAAAATTTTATACACACAGACACTTCTATCATATAATTTATCTCTATATATAATTTTATATACACACAGACTATCTATCTATCTATCTATCTATCTATCTATCTATCTATCTAGAACATACTTTTCTGGGCCTCCCCAAAAATTAAACAGATATTTGAAATGTGTTGAACTAGTTGTTCTCATAAATTTGTTTTGTGGGAAATCGTGTTATGCCCTTGGTCCAATTCACAACTTTTTAGGTTATCTGACAAGGATGTCTCATTGTTTCTTAATTTAACCTATTCATTTTTACTTCTCATCGAATTCATCTAAGTTCTTTCCACACTCACTTTCTAAGCTATCCCAACCAACTTATAGAAATCAGCAGGTATCTGTCATCTTATTGACATATGAAGGACATTTCTACACCTACTTTCTAGTTATTGCTGCTCTGCAAAGGGAAGGGTGAATGTAGGTCTTGCCATGGGAAGATGAAATGACAAATTGTGTTCCTATAGACAGCGGTAGGAGTGGAAATGTCATATGTGAAAGAGAGGATGTGTTCTAAAGGAGCTTCCACTCTAGGCTGCAGTTAATTTATTTTCTAGAATACATAAAATCATATTTTGCCAAAATAAGAAATAATTTTTCACAAACCTCTAGTTAGTTTATATGAGAAAATCACGTGGCTTCGAATAGCACTACATTTCATAGAAAGCAATCGTTTTTAACCCTGCCCTTATTACACTAAGAGGAGCATCTTGTCCTCTACATCCTCTGCCCCCCTAAATTACTGCACAAAATGTTTTTCGTTAACTTGCTATAAATGGTATCCTATCTAGATTGTTTCTTTGGGGACTCGGGAGAAGATATAAGTCCTCCCAGATATTGTCATCATACTTGTCTTCACACAATTATTAAGAAAATATTTATTCTTTGCTTTCTTTTTCTATCAGAGTATATTAAGTAAATTATTTTAGATCCAATGAAATAACTCATAGTGGTAAAACAATAGGGAAGGTTGTTCATAAGACTGCCCCCTGCCTAACAACTTCAACATCTTTGAAATAGAAGGAATGAATGTGCATTTGTCAAGAAAAAATTGAGACCAGTGAAAAAGACAAGAAAGACTATTGGAGGCTTCTGCAACAGAGGAGAGATGCTGAAATCTGCAGAAACAAAAGGCAGGAGTGTTTTTAAGCACTGGGTAATACAATGGAAAAGTGCTGGAGGACTTTCAGAGGGGAGCTTGGTCAGTGTCACTAGGCCATGATCCATGTTTGCTGATTGGCACTTAATGGAAGTTGGGCTTCTACCCTGTCACAGAGTCTGGGAGATAGGAGTGCTAACTTCCGTAATGATTACATTTTTAAAACATGGCTCCCAGATTCTTGAGAAAGACATTTCTGGGTTGTAAAATGGACAAAAGACTAGAATAAAATTTACATCTCAAAGGAACAGATAAAGACTACAATAGTGCTTTTTCTAGAATAAAGCCACCAGGAAAAATAACATCATAAGCCAATGGCCAGGATGAAAAATATCTGAAGTTTGGTCAAACTGAGGAAAACGTTATAACCATCACACAGAACTACATTCCTGGAAAGCAGGGAATATAATACACACACACACACACACACACACACACACACACACACACGTGTTATATATGTATATATAAGTATAATATACATACTACACATAATATTATATATATATTATGTTATATATGTATGTGTATGTATAATATACATACTACATTCCTAAAATGTAGAGAATATAATATATACATTCCCTATTTATGATATTATGTATATTACTGATTATATTATATAATATATATTCTCTACTTATTACATTATATATTCTTTATTATATTTTATATATATTTTCCTATACTTATTGTATTATATATATTACTTATTATATTATATATTATATATTCTCTACTTACATATTATATTAATATAATATGTATATTATATTCCCTACTTTCCTGGAATATAGTATGCATATGATATATGCATGTACATGTATATAATATGATGTATATATTATTATGTGTGGTACATATATATATATAAGGGTAAAAACATTCCAAGTGTAAAGTGGCCAGCCTAATAGAGAAAACAGATGAGAGGAAGATTCTCTCTCAATTGGTGTAAGGGAGCATGGTCTCCTTAGCCATCCTGGACCACGTAATCTCTTCTGTCAGAATTGCATAAAATGCCTGTGGAAGCCACATAGAACTCCTAGGATTGCCTTCTCAGTTAGCTAGGCCGCAACATCCACAACACTTTCTGCTGAACAAAAATGCTTTCTAACTCTCCCCAGGTCCACCCCACTCACTCCAGACCTCTTTTCCCTAAGGTTGGGCCCACCCTGAGCTTACTTCCCATTTGGGAAAGATGGATGCTCTCCTTCCAGCTCCAGGTGGCCTGCGTCAAGCATCCTTCTTAAATAGCAGCTCACTTCAGACCTGGCTGAGTGCTTTTTAAGTGACTATCAAGGAAATCACTTTAGGGAAAATGTTTTAGGGGCAGGAAAAAGAAAACAAAGCTACCTGTGACAAGACCTTTTGGCTGGTGAAGGTAAGATCAGGGAAGACAAAACTCAGTTCTATAAGCAAATATATTTCTCCCACAACCACCTCTAATTCTAGCTCCAGCAGATTTTTAGTCTTGAATACTGGGAAAATTCCACATGTTTGGAAAATTTCCTCTATCCTGAAAATTATTTTACAATGTAACCATAATAGGCTCATTGCCCAACACACACAGCAAGTCAGTATGACAAGACATCAGGCTACAACAGAGAAAGAGGTTTAATCATAGGGTCACCCAGTGAGGAGATGGAAGGAAACCTCGATTCCATCTCCCCAAAGAATTTGGGATTAGAGAGTTTCAGAGGGGGCTGAACTATGATGATTATTGACTGGTTGAAGAGTGCAGGGTGAAGTCATGGGACAGGGAGAGGAAGAAGCTATATTTGCCTGCTGATCTCATTCTTCTGTGGGGGTCTTCAAACTGGTTGCTGGAATTTGGGGTCTGAAAATCATCTTAAGTGATTCTTAAACAAAAGCCTTATGATTTTAATGTCAGAAATCCTATCTATAGAGACAACGGAGATGCAAGTCATCAATATCTAATGCTACCTGACATTTAACAACAAGGAAGTGGGCCAGAACGCAGGTCTATTGATGCTTAATTATAACCATATTTCTGTCCAGAATCTGGCACGCAATTCTTGTGAATCCTGTGGGGACAGTTTCAATAATTTCTATTTCCAAATGAATGCTAGAATAAATTACTTTATTGGTTAATTAATACCCTTGTTATGATAAGCTGTGGTTGTTTGCTAAGTCAAAGATGTAATTGAATATATATATACACACATAATATATATATGAAATATACTATATAAAATATATTATACATATAATATATGTACTGCCTGAGGTTGTAGAATGGGAGGTAAGCCAATTTGTGGTGAATTTGACTGCACAGCATGTGATTCTATGTGATTTAGGTCACAGCTCTGTGTTTATTTCTCAAGAAGGCGTATTTGAACCTGGACATGACATACAATTGTGATTGCATAGGATTGTATAAACTTGGCTTTTGTGAGAGTTAACAGAGCAATTCAACAAATATTTATCAAATGCCTATTTCTTTACCTCTCTGATCCTTCCTCCATATTCTCAACTAGAGTGATCTTTTTAAATCAAAAACTGGATGGTGTCACTCTTATGAAGTCCCAGTGGCAGGCTGTTTTTTAGCTGTTTCTTTAACTGGACACAGATACTAGAGATATAAAGTGGTCTTCCAGGGTATGCAATAGCATAGGATGAGCATGGAATTGATTTTTCTAAATAGTAGGACACTATAGAGCTTTCATAATAAAGCTAACTAATCATGGTTAAATGCAACATTCACACAAATGTTTGAAGGGAAGTACCATATTTTTAAAAACAAATGAGCTTATTGCTGGCTTTTGAGGCTGTATCTGAAGTCCTCTGAGGAATGCATTCTAGCTATTGTCTATCAAGAATATTTAAATGGAAAAATTTGAGAATCATTGCCTTGGGTGAAATCCAAATTCTTCAGTAATTCACACTAGTCTCTGCACTATTTAATATTGACTATTTTGGCACTATCACCTTTTTACAGTTCTGCATCCTGTTTTATTCTCTACCAGTTCCCAACAACTTCCGGTAGCCAGAATACAAGACTTTGCTTTTGTGCAAACTGTGTTACTCACCTACCATGCCTCCCCTTGTCCTTGCTCTTCCAATATATTTCTATGTGTGCATCAAAACCTTGCTCAGAACCCTGCTTCTCTCTTGAGCCTTGTCTATAAACCTGAAATTTAATGAATTCACTATCACCTCTTTGAAAACGCTGTTACTACCATATACTCTACATATTTTCCTTATTGCCATTTTATATTCTTACACAGGTTTTATACTTTTGATTCCCAAGAACCAGAAGTGTAGTAAGGAGAGAGACCCCATTCTCTCTCAGTAATCCCCATTTCTCTAATGCTTTCAAGGTAAGCATCAAATTCTTGACCAGCTCCCAAGGCCCTAGCCATCTCTCTGCTCTCACCTAGAAAATCTCTCTCCATCCCTCTCTGTGTTCAAACCCTACAGGCTTTCACTCACTTTCTTAATTAGACCGTCTCCCTTTGACTCATGGATTTTATATGTGACAGTTCCTGGATCTCCACCTGGATGCATAGAACACTGGCCAAACTTCACCCACACCCAGTACACTTTCCAGTTAACTTATGATTAGCTTTTGAATCCCAGTGCTGCTAGTGTTTCCTTGAAATAGTTCTTCCTAATATCCCCAGTTATATGCTGCCAATACTTTTTACATTATTGATTCATAGTTATCTATTAATATGAATATTTTCAATAATGTGCATTTTCTTTTCTGTAATCCACCACTGGGAAAAAAGAGACCACACTTATTTTGCTCAGCACTGAATGACTAGGCATTCACCTAGGCAGGACTTGTGGATGCCTTGGATATGAGGTGTGAAGGGGAGAGCAGATTAAAAGAAAGTTATGTTATTTGCCAAGTCAGTGATTTTGATCACTCTTATTGGATGGAAGAGATTGGGAAAAAATAGATTTAGAATGGGTTGGAGAATTATGGGTAATGAGAACCATTTGTACATGTTGTCTTCTTTTATCTACACATTTAAAGAGGTCAAATTATAAATGGGATATATAACTCTGTATTAAATAAGTGAATGACTTCTTGAAAGCTTAGACAAAAGCTAAATAGATAAAGTGATGTTAAAGTTCAATTCATATAAATAGAATTCTACAAACGTCATACATTTTAAGTATCTCTCGATTATTAGGCCATTCCAGCTCTCTCCCAATCACAGTTAAAGCACAGTTCTTTTAACTAGCAATACCAATATAGAGATTGAATTTATAGTTGCTTTGCTCTTAAATTTTTGTCTTCTGATCCCCTGTCTGTATTCATGTGTGTTTCATGCCAAAATAAGAAAGTCCCAGTTTCCAGGAGAATCACAAGAAGCAACCCTGGCATGGGCCCTTATGCAGCATGGTTGTAGTAACTGGAAAAAGTTTAACTTCATCTTTAACCTTTCCTTTCTCCTGTGAATTGTAGGTATGTTTGGGTGTGCACACTGGTAATGAGCTTGGAAGCTCTTGTTTGACAAGATTGTTTGTGGAATTTTGGCACTGTTGTACTTCCCAGTGCACAGCATGAGTCATCTACACCGAGGTTGCCAAGATTACACAGAACCTAGATAACAAATGGCTGCAAAATGAAGTTGCAAATTTAACTATATCCTAATTACAAGGATGATTATACAATATCTTTGTGATAACAGAAGGGCCTGCAAGATGGTACAAAGCACAAAGCAGCTCTAAGTATGAACTGAAGAAATGCTGAGAAAAAATAAAGAAGCATCATGCTTGGGAGAACACTGCAAAGAGAAAACCGTAACACATTTACCACAATCACCTCAAAAGAACAGTAACAAAAACAGTAATAGAAAAAAGAATACCAACAGAGAGACAGGCCAAAGACATTAATTGGAAAAGTTATTGCTTTTGATCAATGTCTGGGAGGTAAGATTTCCTCCAGTTTCTTTATTATCCATTTTTAAATTTTATTTTTTAGATTTCTGAGCAAATTTTAATTCTTTCCTCATATCCATCATTTTTCTTTCATAAAGCCACTTCTCTCTTATAGTAGAACCATATGTCTTCTATATTTGAATCAAATAACATTCCTGCATGACAGTCCTTCCAGTGCACTCTAAACTTCAGGCAAGAATGAAATAGTTCACAAGACAATGATTTACAAAACAGAGTAGGTATCAAATCATTGTGATATAGTAGCCATCCTTCAGTCATTAGCATTTCTTGTAAACATATAACATGTATATATCATAGGATGTACCTGCTGTTACCAGGTACTCGATCTTTTTTCGTGCCATGCATGTAGTATAGCAATGAAAATAAAAATTACCCAAATAATAGTATAATTGATTTTATAAATAGGGATATAGGGGGTATTATAGAAGCTTGATCTTTGGCATAAATATTCATGGGATTGGGTCTTTGAATGTAAAAGTCCAGATTATTTCTTACTGTCAGAGTTAATGGTTACCTCAAATAGACAAAATTTTGAAAAAGAAGAATAAAGCTGAAGCACTCACATTTCCTTACTTTAAAACTTACTACAAAGCTACAGTAATCTAAACAGTATGGTACTAGCATAAAGTCAGGCATATACACTAGTGGAGTAGAATAAAGATTCCAGAAATAAATCCTTGCTATATGATCCAATGATTATTGACAAGGAGAATAAGATCATTCAATAGGAAAAAGACAGTCTTTTCAGCAAAAGTTGAACATAATCAAAGAAATATGGAACTATGTCACATGGCTTTACCCATAAAATAATCAAACCCAGAAGGACAGTTTGCCTGGAATTAAATGTAACATGGTTAAGAAATGCAGGTTCTAACATCATTTAGAATATTGGTGTGGAATGTGTCTTTCTTTTTTTGGTGTTGGTGTCATTTTTGCCATCTTTCTTGATACCCTTATACCAATAATTTGAGAGCTTTCTGAGAATTCCTGGGTAAGATCTTTAGAAATTTTGTGAAGGTTTTATTTATCTTAGTCTCCTAGATCCTATTGGGAATTGAGCATGTATTTCTTAAGAAGCCACCAAGAAATTAACAAGTTTTAAAGAACTAACCTTGCATTGAACACAGATGACATAGAGAACAGGGTCCATGGTTTTTTTTGTTTTGTTTTGTTTTGTTTTGTTTTTTTGAGACAGAGTCTTGCTCTGTCACCCAGGCTGGAGTGCAGTGGCACAATCTCGGCTCACTGCAAGCTCCACCTCCCGGGTTCACGCCATTCTCCTGCCTCAGCCTCCTGAATAGCTGGGACTACAGGCACCCGCCACCACGCCCAGCTACTTTTTTTGTATTTTTAGTAGAGATGGGGTTTCACCATGTTAGCCAGGATGGTCTCGATCTCCTGACCTCATGATCCACCTGCCTCGGCCTCCCAAAGTGTTGGGATTACAGGCGTGAGCCACCATGCCTGGCCAAGATATTTAAATCCTTAATGGCAAACCTAGGCCTAGCGTGGTATCTACATATCTGTACCTCTTTATATCTAAAATGGTATTATTCATGCCAATAGGATTTTAAAAGAATGAGTGGTCATATTTATTGTACTCTCTGAATCTTAGTTTATTTTTCTGTGAAACAGGGAAATATCAAAAACATCCCAATAGGTTATCATACATAACCTATTGGGCATATTATGCATATCTGCATAATAAATAGCAGCCCCTATTATTGTTGTATGATCACGTTTCTACATTTCTGTCTGTTTTTATTTGGGGACTTCTGGAGTCAGAAACATTGTTTTATTCAACTCTCTATTTCCTATGCCTATCATAATCCTTGATGGCCTTTAAATATGCCTTGTACATGATGTTTCTAACAAATGTAAGGAAAAATCCTAAGGTATGTTTCTTATAAAGTTTCTTTATTGATTGAAGTTGCTAGACAGATGATTGGCATATGGCAAGTGCTCAATAAATATGATTTTAAATTATTATCTTCTATTCTTTCCCTGTAGCAGGTCATTTTCCCTGTGTCATTAAAATGGAGAGTTGGTAGTGGATACTTAGTTGATTGTCCATTCTCACCACTAAAGGGGTTTGAGGATGGGTCTGTAGTTTGGGTGAATGACAGTGTCCAGGAAACCTGTCACATATGCTTAAAACACCCAGAGGAAAGTTATTTTAGAAAAAGAAAAACAGAGTATTAACTACAGCTGGGATCATAGATGCATTTGAAATGCAATTATCCTGGCATTGGCTTTTAGCCAGATAACTTGGAACTAATGATAAAGTGAATTTATGTAAACCTCTCCTTTATCTCTTTCCTCCTACTCACCTCCTCTACTTTTCTGGTTAGGCTCTCTCAGAGGAGATCTTAGAGGGATTGGGTTGGGAAGGAAATAATTTATATCTAGACTGGGTATAAGACATTTCATATACATGACTTCATTTAAATCTCAAGATGCTTTATGTCTTATTCACTTAATTCCTGTACTTAATAGTGCAGGAATACAGTACTTGAGGTTCAAAGAAACTAAGCAATTGACCCACACTAGAGTGGCCTGATCACGATTGGAACCTGGGTCTTTCTGTTTTTGAAGTCCTTGCTCTCTCTATGTTACCACTCTTCCCCTGAGTTTGCCATCTGTCTCCATAACATCTGCTCAGGTACTGCTAAGTGACAATTGCCCACATAGTGCAAAGAATATGAGGACAAGAGGTCCTGAATTACTTTGTTAATTATATTTCCCATATCTCCTATGTATCCAGCCAAAGACCATTACACATCCAGGTGGTGACCTTGGAGAAGCAAAGTCTTTAGTTCTCCAGCTTCTGAGGAATGTGGATGACTCAAGAGAAGCCAGTGGCTCCACCAGGGACTGCCATGGGGACTGGTGGACTATATCACTTAGTCCAAAACTTATAATAAAATGAGCTAATTACAGTGTTTCATTTAGCTATTATGGACATTACATATTTTTTGCTTGTGTGAGTTCTTTATTATAAAGAAGAAGAAAAATAGTGTCATCCTTTCCTTTATTTGCCAAGACATATTTTGGCAAAAACAAATTCTGAAAGAGATAATATGGATGTATTTGTTAAGACTTTGGCTGTAAATTAGATAATAAAAGCAGGAGCTTACATGAAAAGGAATGGTTCATGAGCAGGACACTGAAATAATCTCACGAAATCACCAAGCCACCTGAGGAAGGGTGGGCTCAGCCATCAGGGCAGCAGTTACAGAGGCATAAGCCTTTTTGGAGCTCTCAGTTTTGTGCTGTGGTGTCTAACTTCAGGGCATTTTCATAAATCCTAGTTTCTGTGCAAGACAGTTTTTTTGGTGTGTATTTTTTTGGTGGTGTTGTTAACATGATGGAAAACACAGCCCCTGACAATTCTGAGTAGTATAAATTCAGCTTCTGTTTTTCCATCTCCAGTCAGCTCAGGGAGGAAATTATTGGTCCAGCCAATGCCCAGGTCTATAGCAAGGTGGTCAGTGGGAGTCAGAATACTATGCTTGGCCCAATTTGGGTCAAGTGATCATCTGTACATCAGTGAACTACAGAGCAGGGTCAGGTAAGTTCCTAGCTCATCTCCTAACAATTATACAACAAGGCACGGTGCGATCACTAAAGTGGTGTCTGACAGTAGGAGCAAGGGAGCAATGGCAGTGTGGAGTCCACTGGAATATAAGGACAAGGTGCCCTGGACTTCAGTCATTTGTCTTTGCCACATCTTATTTTTCCCTAAAAGGATTCTGGCTCATTCAGCAAGATGGCTAACTTTTAGGACTCTGGCTGCTTAGCTCTATTAAGCAAGGTTTTTCAAGCGGCTGGTGGGAAACTAAGATTCAGTGATGAGCCAAGACCCTTGGGGTATTGCAGCCCAAGTGTGCATTCTGTGTTCTTTTATCCACACCAGAGATTACAAGCAGGGCATAATTTGAAGGACTCTAGGAAATTGCCTGTGCCTAAAGATGTGCTTCTCGGGATCCTGAAATTTTATCAGAGAATTACAAAACTGTTGGATATCAGGGTGGAAAGGAAAATAACCATTTCAGATCTTCTTTCTCAGCTGGCTTTTAACATTTCACATAACCTAATGAAGATCACAAACTTGCTGGTTGTGGGCCACCAAATCCAAACAAAGTCTTGTAGTATCCTAAAATTATTGTTTGTGCATGAACAATTTATAAGTGCCTACCTAATACAATATAAAAACGAATCCTTTATACGACATATATTCTCCATAATCGGTCAGTCCTCACTAATCTGCATTCATATTTGTGAACTGTCTAGACCCTGACCATTTGAATTCGAACAACCAGGAAACCATTTTTTTTTTTTTTTTTTTTTTTTTGAGATAGAGTCTCACTCTGTCACCCAGGCTGGAGTGCAATGGCACGATCTTGGCTCACTGCAACCTCCACCTCCCGGGTTCAAGTGATTCTCCTGCCTCAGCCTCCTGAGTAGCTGGGATTACAGGCATGAGCCACCACACCCAGCTGATTTTTCATATTTTTAGTAGAGACGGGATTTCTCCATGTTGGTCAGGCTGGTCTCGAACTCCTGACCTCAGGTGATCTGCCCGCCTCAGACTCCCAAAGTGCTGGGATTACAGATGTGAGCCACCACGCCTGGCCCAGGAAACCATTTCTAAGAATTCTTTAAGTTTGAGTGTGAAGGCTTCCAGTGGCAGGGAACTCTCTATGTCTGAAGTCAGACTTTTTCATTATCGGCCTGTTTTGATCATTAGGAAATTACTCCTTGCAGTAATATGGGTTATTCCACCCTTTAACTTTCTCATAATGATAATTGTTCTTTTCTCCCATGGCAATCATGCAAGATATTTTCCTTCGTAACACATGGAATAGCTTAGAATAGTTGAAGCTATTATTGCTCCTATGAGTGGCTGTATTTCCACACACTTTTGGATTTTGTAGACCTTTCAAGCTTTGTTACATTTTTTTCTTCTAATATAAACCTTTACTGCACCCGTGTTTTTTTCCCATGTCATCATATCCTTCAGTAACTGACATTCCCTCTCATCATAATTTGTATCTGCTTTGCCTACTAAACTATCTATGGCAGGTAAGGATAGGGTCTCCTTCTCCTTTTCATGACTGTTACTGAATGCCTTCTGCAGTGCCTGATATAATGTAGTTGCTCATTGAATGTTTTGATAATCAAATGAATGAAGAGTAGCTCATCAGAAGCACTGTGAATGACTTTCACTTATCATGCAAATGGGAAAACATCAAATTAAATATTACAGCGAAAAAAATGCTAACTTTGTTGAGAGTTTCTTTTAAAGCCAATGTCTACAAATTGAACTAAATTTTGTAAAATTTTCTATCAGTTATCCAGGGATGCACTTTTGTATTTTTCTACTCTGAGGGAGTAAACTGAGTTGAGTTCCTTTCAATATTCCAGTCTTTTCATGGACTTTATGCCTCTGTCAATTTTAGCATAAGCTCAGTATATCCTTTCTTCTCACTTGCTCCTCATATATAATCTATTGCATTTCCATCAGAGAGTTCATCAAAATTGTTCTTGCCTCTTCATCCCTCTGCTGCTAATGTCCAAAGGTCAGCTAAGGTGAAGATGGCTTGAAATATCTTCAATTTTGATGACTCAACTTCATCATCTGTGGTTTAAAAAATGTATTTATTTATTTTTAAATGGAAAAATAAAAATTGCATATACTTACGATGTACAACATGGTGTTTTGATTTATGTATACATTGTGGATGGCTAAATCAAGCTAATTAACATACATTACCTCCTATAGTTTTTTTGGTAGTGAAAACACTTAAAATCTATTCTCTTGCAAAAATAATAAATCCATTCTCTTCAGAAGAAATGTAAGATTATTTCTTCTGAATTAATTGAGATTTTTCTTATAACTCTCGTAAGTTTATAATTTTTTGATAACTCCCTGATAACCAAAGACTAATGCCTTGGATATCACATTAAAATTGTCTTCATGACCCCTACTAAAATAACATTAATTACATATTTCTTTGGGTGCTTATTTTGAAGTATCTGCCTACTCCATTAGAGAATTTCTTATTCTCCAAGAGGGTAAGGACCACATCTCTTTAAATCTTACTGTACTACAAGCAACTTGTAGAGAAGCAGATTAAGAAAAGTGTGTTGAATAAACGAGTCAGTTAAAATTCCAATTCAGGAGTTTGTCCAAAAATGTAATTCTGTAGTTTCCTATCTAGCACTTTTCACACCCCATCTATTAAGTATGTTTTGCTCTAGTCATTTAACTTATTCTTAGGGGAAAACAAAAACAAAAATAAACAAACAAACAAAAAAAAACACCACTGCCTTTGCTAGTCGATTTTCTCCCTGAAAATTCCTATTTCTAGTTCATATTTTCTAAGTCTCTAACTCCAGCTCATTTTTAAATGTTCAGACTTTGTCCATTTGTATGAAGTTGTCCTAAAGACTCTTATAGCTGTGTTTTTATTAGCCTGTGATATCCCTGTGATACAACCTAACATGCTCAGTGCAATCACTCATTTATATGCTTATTTCCCCACTCCATCTCCCATGATGAAAGCATTAAGAACAGAGAGCCCTTTCTTATTCCATATTCTAACCAGTTAGCAACTTGCTGAGTGCTTAAGTGAATGCTAGGTGGTAGAATTGCTAAGTGAATACCTCAGAGGGTCTTTTTATTTTTTCATATCACCTGTCTTCAGATGATGATTCCAGTAAATGTTGACATAAACTAGTCTAACAGCCCTCAAGATACTTAGAATCCTTCTGTCTTTAAGTTCTAATATTATTTAGAGTACTAGTAAAAATGGCAGCCTAATTTTACAAGAACCATTTAGTTCACAGAACGTTTATATTTTCCTATTTATTTATAAATGTTTCAATAACATTTTTTATTTTTTCTATCCTTTAAAAGAAAAAAAAGGCAACAGAAATTTTCACATTCAATATGTCCCATCTTCTTCTGACAAATGCACCAGAACATATGTCATCACAGAGAAAGGGTGAAGGGAGGGAGGGTGCAGCCTTCACAGGAAGCAGCCCATCAGGCATCCTTAGCCATTTCTGGTAATGAGACTATCTGTGCAGAGAAAACCCAAAGGCTACAAATTGACACATTTCTGTATGTAAATGCTCCCCAAATGCATTGGAATACACCCTTCAAGATGCTGCAGAGCAGTTTTCTAGCCAAAGAGGGTGCACTATATTTTTGTATTCTTTAGATTTATGTCTGTGTGTGTATGAGAGACAGAAAGAGAAATAACAGTTTTAATTTTTTATGACACCTTGGTGTTGACAAACAACTTGACTTTGCAGAATGATATGTAATGAGAAGTATATTTGGTTAGACTGATGATCTTGTTCAATATTATGGTCATTTTGAGATACCTACCACCAGAAAGCTGCGGAAAGAGGCTCAGTATTTTCTCATTTTCTAACACTCCGTGTTTAGTTAATGTGTCTGGCTTAAGATTTGCTCTTTGTTTTCAGACTAAAAAGTCACATATTTAAATTGGAATATGGACTAATATAATATAGAGTCGAAGATATTTGAAAATAAGTAATCTTGGAATAAGTTAATAAACATGGGAAATAATATCATTGCTATCACTACTGGAAACCTTCTTTTCATCCATATTAATAGTCTGACTTCAAAGAGCAAGGGCAATTGAAGAATACTATTATATTTGTAGTTAGCCATCCTAACTTTAAATCCGAAATCTACCTATCTGTATGATGTGGCAAAAAATCAATTAACGCTCTGGAAAGGCTTTCTGATGGGGCCAAAGATGCCTGTCCCTTTTCCATATCCAGGTGGTGCTGAAGAGCAACTGAGACAGTGTAAATGAGTTTTCTATACCAGGAAATATGATGGAAACACAGGCTACAGTAACATCTCAGTGAGAAGCAGTAACCTAGGGCACAGCTGGGGATCAGCCTCACTGGACTATCCCCTTCGACACTTTGTCCTGCCTTCCTGTCTGCTAAAAGCCTGAGATGAACAAAATTCCACTCTATTTGTTTCACTACACCCATTCTAACCACCTCTGAAAAGTTGCTGGTTCTTGAATATTCCACATTTTCAGGCATGAATGTCTTTTTTTTATTTTACATAATTTTTCTCTGCATAAAATACTCGTTTAATTTTCATTTCTGTTCCATTCTCTGAAATTCTGCTCGTCTCCCAAAACTCAGTCCACCTCTTCAAATCTTTCAGTGGTTTTCTTTGAATGCCTCTCCTACCCAGGCAGAATTATGACAACTGCTGCTTTCTTTATGCTTGGTCAGTATGTTGCTTATGCTTCCCGATATGATTTGGCTGTGTCCCCACCCAAATCTCCCCTTGAATTGTAGCTCCCATAATCCCCACATGTTGTGGGAGGAACCCAGTGGGAGGTAATTGAATCATGGGGGTGGGTTTTTCCCATACTGTTCTCCTGATAGTGAATAAGTCTCACAAGATCTGATGGTTTTATAAAGAGCAGTTCCCTAGCACATGCTCTTTTGCCTTCCACCATGTAAGATGTGCCTTTGTTTCTCCTTCGTCTTTTGCCGTGATTGTGAGGCCTCCCCAGCCATGTGGAATTATGAGTGTATTAAACCTCCTTTTCTTAATAAATAACCCAGTTTGGGATGTTTCTTTATAGTAGTATGAAAATGGACTAATGTACCTCCATTATGGCATTAATCAATTATTTTATTATTATTTATTAATAATAATAAATAAACATTTATTAGTTATAATAATAAATAAACTATTATATCTGGATTTTAATGGAATGGGACAGGTCTTAACAGCCATAATGAATTAAATGCCTAATCTGTGTTTGGCAACATATCTACACAATTATAGTTTTAGAAACAACTCAGCTTCTGACTGTGGGTCCTTCATAAATCAAGCAGGAAGTGATTTTAAAATGACTCCATGATGTTGAAATTGGCACTTAGACACTATTTTCGGAGAACTCAATAGGAGGAGCTTTTCTCTGTAACTTGGGAGGACCAGTGAACTCCAAGTTCCTTGTGGGCAGGCACCACACTTGACACTCGTCTCCTTCATACCTCTTAGCATACTGCATGTGGCAGATGCTTAAAGAGTCACGATAGATTGTGATTATCTGCATCAGTTTTTGTTCCTTTTTTGCAGTATTTAAGATGTGAGGTCAAGTCATTATATTGAAGTGTCTTGCTGCTTTACAACATTATACATTTCCCAGGGTGTAGATGCCCAGTGCCTTGTCTGTTAGAGTACTGCCAACATAACAGATGTGACAACAGTTCACAGCTCTTTTTTTTTTTTTTGTCCCCAGGCCACTCTGTTTATGTGTGGTTTATCATGATTAGTTTGATAAATGACTTTAGTTCTTAGGGAGCCAATTGCTTCATCTTCTCTCAAACACAGTAGCATTATAATTGTATACAAAGAAATGAGAATGTTTGTCTGATTCTTAAAAATATGATCTGCATGTCCTTAGAAAAAAACTTTTAATTTGAGAATCTGGGGAACTATAGTGACATTCAGGATTCAAGTAGCTCTGTAACCTTAAACTGAATCTTGAATACTCTTTTTTGTTGAGGTACACTTTTCCTTTTCTTTGAGAACAGGAGCTAAATTTGTTAGATTCCAAAAGATCCATTCATTTGAAAAAGATAAAGGAACAAATATTTACAGGAATGTTACTTATGTTAACTTTAGGCTGAAAATACACTACCCATCAATGTGCAAATGGACAAACAAAATGAGATTCATCCATAAATGGAATACTACTCTACAACTAAAACAAAAAATAATTACAGATAAATGTAACAACATGGATAAACCTCAAAAACATACTAAATAAGTCAGACACAAATGAGTAAATATTGCATAGTTCTATTTATATTCAACTTCAGAAGAGGCATAAAGTAAGACAAAGTACATCAATGGTTGCTTCAGGTTGGGATGGAAGTAAGAATTTACATGCCAATAGACATGAGAAAACTTTTTTTTGTGGTGATGAAAATATTATCAAACTGAATCACGATAATGTATAAACTTACTGTATATAAATATCCTAAGAATCATCAAAATGTTCACCTATGGTGGGTGAATTTAAGTTTTATAGTTAATAAAAAAGTTAAGATAGGCCAAGCGCAGTGGCTCATGCTGTAATCCCAGCACTTTGGGAGGCCGAGGCGGGTGGATCATGAGGTCAGGAGATCGAGACCATCCTGGCTAACATGGTGAGACCCCATCTCTACTAAAAATACAAAAAATTAGCCGGGCGTGGTGGTGGGCACCTGTAGTTCTAGCTGCTTGGGAGGCTGAGGCAGGAGAATGGCGTGAACCCGGGAGGCGGAGGTTGCAGTAAGCCAAGATCGTGCCACTGCACTCCAGCCTAGGTGACAGAGCGAGACTCTGTCTCAAATAAATAAATAAATAAATAAATAAGATAAGAACTAGAACTTTGGAATATATTGCTTCACTTACAATAATCAGTTTACAAAGCCACAAAACACAGGTTCACCAATACTAATATTTTTGGCAAATAAAGTTTAGAAATTAATGTATCTGTCAATGAGACAGTGAAATTAAATCATTCTTTAAAGAGTACAGGAACTATAAATCATTGTAGAAAATGGAAAAACACAGGGTCAGATACAGCAGTTTAATATTTTAAATAAATTACACACACACACACACACAGACACATTCAATTAAATAAAATCTGTTAGCATTTTACTGAAATATTTAGATTTGCCAAAGACAGAATTGAATACTTACAGAAAAATAGTGTTGATACCAGGCATTCAGAACATGACATGAGTTTAATAATAATATTGTAATAATGGTACATTCTATGTGTCAGGCACTATACTAAGCACTTTTTTTTTCTTTTCCTTTTTTTTTCTCTTTTCAACTTTTATTTTAAGTTCAAGGGTACATGTGCAGGTTTGTTACATAGGTAAGTGTGCTCCATGGTGGTTTGTGGCACAGATCATTCCATCACCTAGATATTAAGCCAAGCATCCGTTAGCCATTCTTTCTGATGTTCTCTTTTACCCAACCCTCCCTTTTGGCAGGTCCCAGTGTGTGTGGTTTCCTCCCATATCTACATGTGTTCTCATTATTCAGCTCACATATATAAGTGAGAACATGCAGTGTTTGGTTTTCTATTCCTGTGTTAGTTTGCTGAGGATAATGGCTTCTAACTCCCTCCATGTCTCTGCAAATGACAGTGTTTCATTTCCTTTTATGGCCACAAAGTATTCCATGGTATATATAGGCCACATTTTCTTTATCCACTCTATTATTGATAAGCATTTAGGTTGATTCCGTGTCTTTGTTATTGTGAATAGTGCTGCAATGAACATATGCATGCATGTATCTTTGTAATAGAATGATTTATATTCCTTTCAGTATATACCCAGTAAAGGGATTGCTGGGTCAAATGCTATTTCTGCTTCTAGGTCTTTGATTAAAAAGTGGGCAAAGGACATGAATACACACTTCCCAAAAGAAGACATACATGCGTCCAACAAACACTAAAAAAAGCTCAACATCACTGATCATTACAGAAATGCAAATCAAAACCACAATGCAATACTATTTCATGCCAGTCAGAATGGTTATTATTAAAAGGCAAAATGCAACAGATGCTGGTGAGGGGGTGGAGAAAGAAAATGCTTTTACACTGTTAGTGGGAATGTAAATTAGTTTGACCACTGTGGAAGAAAGTGTGGCGATTCCTCAAAGCTCTATACTAAGTACTTTAAGCACATTATCCCACTCAGTCCTTACAGTAACACTATGATTTAGTACTTCTCACATGTTATGTTTTCAGAAATTGAGTTTCAAAAGGGTAAAATTAACTGGTTACAATTTGAACCTCTTTGACTCCAAAGTCCCTGCACACAGCTTCATTTCCTTATGCTACCCATTTTCTTATTGCCTTTCATAATAAATTATATATTACATATGTGTATATATACACATATGTGTATACAATCTATAGATACAGAGATACACCACCAGGTTGGCAGAAGGGGAAGTTGGATCTGGAAAAAAGAGGCAGCAGAATCATTATGCAGTTCCAAATTCACATTTCGGAGGCACTCATTGCTAATATCAGCTACCAACATGAAGCTTTTCCTGAGGTGTTACCACTCCTGCTTTAACACATGGGTCCCAAAATAGACCAATCTCCCACCCACCTTCTGTTTAGAAAAGCTGAGATCTTTCAAAAAGACTAGTTAACTCAGATTCCTCCTTCAAGAAACCAGGGCTAAGAGGGTGAGCCAGGCATCCTTGTTTGTGGGGATGGGTGTGGCATGATTGTCAGTGGGTGTTGAATTTCATTTCAATTCCAACAAGGTCTCGCATACACACCCACAGGATTGAGGATAGCTTCCTTCACACATATTCTTTTTGCTGTTCAGGAGTATCTCAGTTTCTGGGAGAAGCAGAACCGTCAATCTCAAGCTGAACAGGGCAAAGGATCAAATGTCAGTCAGAGCCTATAAACTAAACAGACTCACTACCAGAATAAAACATCAACATCAGATAACTCAAAAAAAATTAAAAAGATATGAATGAACCAGTAAATAATCTAAGGAAATACTTGACAGTTTCTATTTCTCCATTTGGTTAACGAAATCCCTTCTCCTTCAGGCTGAAAGTTGTCTCATTAAGAAGGCATGGGAAGATCAGTAGTTATAAACAATATTAGTTGTCTTTGTCAGTGATCCATGCTGGCCCAATTACCATTACTCTAAAAAGATTTCAGTCACCAGTTGAGCTTTATAGAAAGAGAAGATCAAAACAAGCTTGCAATTAGACATGTAATTTTAGAGTGTTTTTTTATATTAACACGTTATTTGTGCCTCCTGATAAATTTCCCTTTTGGACTTGTGTAGAGGACAAGCTGTCCTCATTAATAACTTTCTTTTTAACATTATTTAATGTCCAGAATGAGATGATCATGTTTCAAAGAAATTACATACCTTTATTTTGCATTGCAGTTAAGCCGAAGATAAGATGATGGAGGGAGAAATGCTATTATTTGAGCTGCAATAAGGGTACTTTTTAAAGTTGTAACAGCTTAAGGTAAATGTAATCACAGAACAATTAGCAGGTAATTATGCTGTTACTAGTTAAATTCATGTCTGGAGTGAGCAAAGATCCTGAATTTCAGTCTGTGACAATTTAGGTGAATTATTTATTTTCATTGAATAACTATCAAGGAAAGCAAATGAGGCAAGAACAGAGTATCATCCATTCAGCTGACAAAGCTAAGTGTAATAGTCAGACTATATACTAAATAAGTGGAAGTCTATTTGAAAAAGATTATTTACATAACTGTTCCCTTGGAAAACAATTACATGGTAAGATATCTTTTTCCAAAATAATGTTTTAAATTATAGCTTGGCAGTTTTACTTTAAAAAAAAAAACTAAGTTATTGTGGCCAATATACCATTTATCTTGAAGTTTTTTAGGCCTTACCACATTGTTTTCAAACCCTATAACACTTCTGTCTATGAGGTGTGCACATAACTCTTTATTTCCCCAGGGCCTGAAAGATTGCCTAACACATACTGCTTGGTAAATGTTTGTTGAGCAATTGGACTTCATATTCTCCAATCTCTCAGTTATTTCTCCAGTATTGGCTTCTCTGTTGAATGATTTGCTGTTGGGAAACCTCCATATTCTTGCCTTCACAGGGTTTCTAGCCTGGTGGGGTCAAGTGATTCATAGATAGTAAACACATAGATGTATCTCTCAGGTGTGAATTTTTTCTCAACAGATATGTATTAAACCCCCCCTGTGTTACAGGTACTGGCATGGCTACTTTCTCATATGATATGTAATTCTTATAAATGTCTTCCAGGGAGGTTCTCATCTTTTTTTTTTTTTTTTTTTTCCTGAACAGAGGGGTTTAGAGAGGCTACACTGATCAGTGAAAGCACAAGGCCTTTGGCTCTGTCTGACCTGGGTTCTAATTCTTACTCAGTACGTGGCCAAGGCTGTTATTTACAGCTTATTTACAGCTATAATTGTGGATTTTAACCAATTACAATATGGAGGCATTGGGAAAGTTGGTATTAGGTTCATGAATCATGTTTTCATAGAGCCCAGCACAGAGCTTGCCTCATGGTAGGCACACAATAAGTGGAGAATATTTTATATTATTGTTCTCTTTTGGTAATAACACAGTTGTTAATCATGATGACTGGTGAGTTGGCTGCCCATACACGATGCAAGGTGTGAATTAAAATAATGTCTCTTACACTTATTTGCAGAATCAAATGCCAGATCTATTTTTACTTTACATAATCACTTGCTTCTGAGATTAGTGGAGAACACACACACAAATGTGCCCACGCAGGCATGCAAAAAAATAGAAATCATCTAAAACTGGCAAAGTAACCAAAGAAAAAACACATCATATATTTTCTAATCAATATGTTCAGAAAATACACACATCTGACCCCTTCAGGAGTTGCTAATGTATATTACTATGTTAAAATTACTGATAAATTATTATTTTAAAGAGCACAAGCTTTGTTTGTCATATTACCAATATATATGTAAATATCAGATATATTATTGCAAGCAACTAATAGCAGATATTAATATAAATTAACAGATTTATGCACAATTTTAATGACAGCAACAATCACCACAACCGCCACTACCAAAACAACTACCACTGCAACGACAACAACTATATATCTATACTAATTGCATACTATAAGAAGAGTATAAAGTGTAAAACAGGTGGATGCAACAGAGGGAGGTAAGGGAAGGCTTCTCTTTGGATCTGACATTCAATCTTAGATTTGAGGTAAACAGGAGCTAACTTATTGAATAGAAGGAAGCAAAATCTATGAAGAGAAAATGCATTTGTAAATGTCATTGTTCTGTAGTTGTGTGGAGTTTATAATAAATAGAAAGAGAAATATTGGTTTTCATAATAGAAAAAGAAACAGAGCTTTCTTTCTCGAATAGAAGAGAAAAAGAAAATGGTGGTTGATTTGCATCTCCTATTAAGTTCTACTATCAAAACAATGTGTTCTATAATTTTTGAATGTGTAAGAAATATTTTATGAAATGTTCGTTTTTGTCCAGGATTAATTTTTGAATTTAAAATTTAATTTGTAATTAAAATCTTAAATTTTAAAACCAGTCTGGGCACGGTGGCTCACACCTGTAACCCCAGCACTTTGGGAGGCTGAGGCGGGCGGATCACGAGGTCAGGAGATCCAAACCATCCTGGCTAACACGGTGAAACCCCGCCTCTACTAAAAATACAAAAAAATTAGCCGGGCGTGGTAGCGGGCGCCTATAATCCCAACTACTCGGGAGGCTGAGGCAGGAGAATGGCGTGAACCCAGGAGGCGGAGCTTGCAGTGAGCCGAGATACCGCCGCTGACCTCCAGCCTGGGCGACAGTGAGACTCCGTCTCAAAAAAAAAAATAAGGAATCTATAGACAAAATTTTAAAAAAAGAATCTATAGACAAAATTAAAAAAAAAAAAGAATTCTGTAGACAATTTTTCTTTTTTTTTGAGATGGAGTCTCGCTCTGTCGCCCAGGCTGGAGTGCAGTGGCACTATCTCGGCTCACTGCAAACTCCGCCTCCCGGGTTCACGCCATTCTCCTGCCTCAGCCTCCCGAGTAGCTGGGACTACAGGCGCCCGCCACCACGCCGGGCTAATTTTTTGTATTTTCAGTAGAGACGGGGTTTCACCGTGTTAGCCAGGATGGTCTTGATCTCCTGACCTCGTGATCTGCCTGACTCGGCCTCCCATTGTGCTGGGGTTACAGGCGTGAGCCACTGTGCCTGGCTAAGAAAAAAAAAGAAAAAAGAAAATGAAACGAAATCTTCAATTTTCTTTGCATCTCATGTGCTTTTCTCATCTTTGCCGATTCCTCAACATTTTCTTTCTTTGTTTAGTATTTTCAAATATATCTCATCTTGGATTTTTGACTTCTTACTCTTCTTTGAATGAGGCTGGGGGAAAGGGGCATTTTACTCATTTTAACTGTTTATATCTAAGGTTTGGTACTACAGTTTTCCCATGAATCCTCATTATTTTACAGTCATCTACCATAGGATAATAAGACCTAGACATAGGGTCAGAGAGAAACTATTCAAGTCTCTTTTGTTTTATTTCTTTGTTTTTAATTTGGAAATCTACTGAGTATTTTTTGTTGTTTTTGTTTATTTGTTTTGTTTCTTATTTTTCTTTTTAAAGCCTAGTCAACAAAAGCAAAATATCTCTTGTCCTTCCCTTTAACTGGCAGGGATAATCTCAAGGTTAGTAATGTGATATAGGGGAAGAAATCGCAGTTCAATAGAGAGTAGAGTGTTGAACAAAACTTCTAAATAAGAATAATATCAAACATGAACATACCTCCAAATTTTATTGATTTAAAACTTACTGCTATGTCTGCAGGAAGTGGGTGTTATATATGTTTATTAGCTCATTGCCTGTTTTTTAAAAATTTGCTTTGTGTGTTTATGTTTTTTGATTTGATAATAGTATATATTTTTTACAAATGACTGTACTAAATATTGATAGAATCTAATTATATATTATGAATGTTTGGTTTTCTGTCATTACAAAGGTTTTCACCAAAAGTAAGATTTTGAAATATATACCTCAAACACGTTTTCTTATTCATTTAAGATTAATATTCTTAAAATATTGTGTTTATCTGGAATTTATTTTACCGCAGTCTTTTGTCTAAAATCCTAACCAGTTGTTTCAACTGCACTTATTAAAAAAGACATCTTCTCTTGTTGATTTTATATGTTGGCAATATATTCTGAATTCAGTTTATCATTGGAATTGGGATCTCAGATATATTATGTTAACAGCTAATTCCATCTCTATACCAGGACCAAGGGATGTGTGTGCATAACTATGTGTGATACACATGTATGTTTTGTAATTTTACCATATATTCTTGTACTGCATAATGACATTTCAGTTAAAGATGGACCACATGTGTTATTGTGGTTTCATAAGATTATAATATCCTATTTTTACTCATCTTTTCAATGTTTGGATATGTTTATTTTTTATTTTGAGACTCAATTTCGCTATTTTTGCCCAGGCTAGAGTGCAATGACACCATCTTGGCTCACTGCAACCTCCTTCTCCTGGATTCAAGCGATTCTCCTGCCTCAGCCTCCTGAGTAGCTGGGATTGCTGGCCCCCACCACCAAGCCCAGCCAATTTTTGTACTCTTAGCAGACATGGGGTTTCACTATGTTGGTCAGGCTGGTCTTGAACTCTTGACCTCAACTGATCCACCCACCTCAGCCTCCCAAAGTGCTGGGACTACAGGTGTGAGCCACTGCGCCCGACCTTAGATATGGTTAGATACACAAATACTTATCAATGTGTTGCAATTGCCTACAGTACTCAGTACTGTAATATGCTGTACAGGGTTGTAGCCTAGGAGCAATAGGCTATACCATATAGTGTAGGCGTGTAGTAGGTTATACCATCTAGGTTTGTGTAAGTATGTGCTATGATATTTACACAACAACAAAATTGCCTAAGGATGAATTTCTCAGAACGTGTCCCCTTCAGTAAGTGATGTATGGCTGTATATGGTAAAGCTCTCCCCTCCACATTATTCTTCTTTTTGTTCCACCTCCCCAAATCCTGTTTGTATGTTTCATTTTCACCAAATGGACTTCTTAATTTGATTGGAGAATATCTTTAGGGTATTTTTATTGTGAATCTCTTGGATTTATTTGTTAAATTAGGTATGCTTTATGTCTTTATAATAGTGTGGCTTTATATCCATTGCTTCAAGCCTCCCTCCATTACTCTTTTAGAAAAATTAGTGGGAGTGACATGTTAGGACCATGGCAAATAACCTAGGCCAAAAAAAAAAAAAAAATAGAAGATCTGAACTTGGAAAATGGCAAATTGTAGAGAAAAAATAAAGGATTAGATTAACAGCACGTTTCTCAAGTAAACATAATGAACCCCTTGTGTAATTGGTTAAATTTGGGGTTTTAAGAAATACTAATAAACTAATAAGATTCATTTTATTTAAAGAGCAATTGTTTTACTCTAATGTTAATGGTATGGAAGTAGTAATAAAAACAGGGATCTGTGACTTTTGTGGCTATTTAACATATTTTCCTCACTCACCCCTCCCTCTCACAGAGCAGATGGAGAAGTGTAAGAGTGGGTGGAGAGAAAGCGAGTGACCATTATTAAATAAATAATTGTCTATTCAGTTTGCAGAAAGAAAGTTTTGTGTGGCTGTGAGCCTAGGAAGCTTTAAGCTTAATTGTCCTATGTGCAAATAGTAAGAGAGCTTCTAATAGAAATTTATATTTGTGGAAAGTGCAGAGAAATGGCTTCATCTTGGTGAACACTTAATAATTTATATGTCTATTATATAATATTTGATATAAACACAATATCTGCAATACATTTAACTATTATAAAGCATAATAATAAACTGAAAACACCCCAGCTTAAGAACATATACATTATCTATATCTTTGCAGATATTTTTGTGTATTGAACTCTATTTGGCCACATGGGAGGAATATGTGTAAAATTATACTTTATCATTTTCTCTTCCAAATCTGTTTCTCTATTGTCTGTATTTATCTAAATGGCATGCCATCCACCTAATCACATACAAGATCATGTTTAGCTGCTTCTCTTTCATCACTTACCTACTGAAATGATGAATGAAATATAAAATTTGCTTTTTACTTCTGTCTTCTGCAAAACTCTGCAATTGCATCCTCAGAGAATTTTTTTTCCAAGCAAAGTATGTATTTCAAAAATCAACAGAGTGTCATTTTAAAGGCAATCCCTACATTTATTGCTAAAGTCAAGAAACAAAGTTATAAAGACAATTTTAAGGAAAGATAAAAGCATGAGTGGAGTCAATGAGATAAAGGCAAAACAAGTAGAATGAAGCATGAAGATTACATAAAGGAAATTAAATAGAAACAGAGAAATGACAGATAAAAGAATGAAGAAACTAAGAAAGACCTATCCATGACAACAAGTGTGTTTTGATACAAATGTTAAAAGCAGTTGATAATGGGCAGAATGCTGTCTACGTGAGGGGTGAATGCTGAATGTGACGTGCATGTTGCAAGCCCATGTAGAATGATTGGAAGGCAGTTTGAAACCAGACTGGGATGTAAAAAATGGATCAAGATGATAAGATATGGGTTTTAGAATCCATTGCATACAAGTAAGTATGTAAACTTTGAACATGAATTTAAGATGGTTATAAAATTTAGACCGAAATAAAGAAAAAAGGAAGTGACAGTAAGGAAGCAGCCTTATGTAAATAATGAAAGAAAGAGTAACAGCTATAGGATAAATACATTTTCAGAGCTACAGAAGATGTGTAAGAAAGAGCAGATTTGAGAATGTAAAAAGAAAACATTACAATAAATAAAGACAACAGTATAGAAATTATGAGAATTGAGAGGACATTATTATAAAGAATCACTAGGTTCTCTTTCACATTTGAGTAAATGGATTCCATTGGGATATGAGGTTAGTTAATTGCAGGAGGTGAGAATGTAAAAGTGGCCAGTGGAGACTAAGGTCTTATAAAAAACCTGTTTTCATTTCAAGAGTGACATCCCAGCCATCCCAGTATTATTATCTCCTAACAATATGACTGAATTTTCTAGATTGTAGAAATTTTTATTTTAAAAGAAATAACAATGGTCAAGTGGGTTGTCTCATATTATCACAATCTATAGAATGTATCATTAACTGCACACCATGTGTCATACTGATTTTTTTATTAAGAAAACTAATTTTTTTAAAATTAACTTTTAATTTTAGAAAAGTTTTAAAGAAAAATTGCCAAGGCAGTACAGAGAATTCCAACAAATTCCCATCCAATATCCCTTCTCATTAACATCTTAAATTACTCTGGCATAGTTGTCACAATTAATGAGCCAGCATTGATATTATTATTAACTAAAGTCCATACTATATTTAGATATTCTTAGTTTTTACCTAGTATCCTGTTTCAGTCCTAGGATGCTATCCAGAATATCACATCACATTTAGCCACATTACCTGTAGACTCCTCTTGGCTTTTACATTTTCATAGACCTTTCCTATTTTGATGAACTTAAAACTTTGGAAGTGTACCAGTTAGGTGTTTTATAGACTACCCCACATTTTGGATTTTCCTGATGTTTTTCTTATGATTAGACTTGGGTTATGGGTTTGAGGAAGGAAAAACATGGGGATAAATTGCCATGTTAATGATATTATATCAAAAATACCTATTATCAACATTACTTATTACTATTAACGTTAATCTTGCTCACCCAGCAGAGGTACTGTATGAGGCTCCTCCAACATAGTTTGTTTTTTCCCCTTCCCTACTATAGTCTTTAGAAGAAAGTCAATATGTGCAGTCAACACTTGAGGAGGGTGGAGTTCTGCCTCACCTGCTTGAAAGCAGAGTATCTACATAAATTATTTGAAGTTCTTCTGTACATGATATTTGTCTCTTCTCTCCCATTTATTTATCCATCCCATGATTTATTTATGCCAGTATGAATTAATTGATTTTTGTATTATACTTTGGGTTATAATCCAAACCAACCTTATTTATATTATTGCTCAAATTATTCCAGCTTTGGCCATTGGGGACTGTTTCATTTGACTCCTGTGTCCCTTTGAAATACTCCCATTATTTGATTCCATATGAAATTTAAAGTAGCTTTTTCCAATTCTGTGAAGAAAGTCAGTGGTAGCTTGATAAAAGAGCCTGCATAGCCAAGACAATCCTAAGCAAAAAGAACAAAGCTGGAGGCATCACGCTATCTGACTTCAAACTATACTACAAGGCTACAGTAACCAAAACAGCATGGTACTAGTACCAAAACAGATATATAGACCAATGGAACAGAACAGAGGCCTCAGAAATAATACCACACATCTACAACCCTCTGATCTTTGACACACCTGACAAAAATAAGCAATGGGAAAAGGATTACCTATTTAATAAATGGTGCTGGGAAAACTGGCTAGCCATATATAGAAAGCTGAAACTGGATCCCTTTCTTACACCTTATACAAAAATTAACTCAATATGGATTGAAGACTTAAATGTAAGACCTAAAACTATAAAAACCCTAGAAGAAAACCTAGGCAATACCATTCAGGACATAGGCATGGGCAAAGACTTCATGACTAAAACACCAAAGGTAATGGCAATAAAAGCCCAAATAGACAAATGGGATCTAATTAAACTAAAGAGCTTCTGCACAGAAAAAGAAACTATCATCAAAGTGAACAGGCAACCTACAGAATAGGAGAAAATTTTTGCAATCTATCCATCTGACAAAGGGCTAATATCCAGAAGCTACAAAGAACTTAAACAAATTTACAAGAAAAAAGAAAACCCCATCAAAAAGTGGGCAAAGGATATGAAAAGACACTTCTCAAAAGAAGACATTTATGCAGCCAACAGACATATGAAAAAATGCTTTTCATCACTAGTCATCAGCAAAATGCAAATCAAAACCACAGTGAGATATCATCTCACACCATTTAGAATGGCAATCATTAAAAGTCAGGAAACAGCAGATGCTGGAGAGGATGTGGAGAAATAGGAATGCTTTTACACTGTTGGTGCGAGTGTAAATTAGTTCTACCATTGTGGAAGACAGTGGGGCAATTCCTCAAGGATCTAGAACTAGAAATACCATTTGACCCAGGAATCCCATTACTGGGTATATACTCAAAGGATTATAAATCATGCTGCTATAAAGACACATGCCCATGTATGTTTATTGCAGCACTGTTCACAATAGCAAAGACTGGAACCAACCCAAATGTCCATCAATAATAGACTGGATAAAGAAAATATGGCACATATACACCATAGAATACTATGCAGCCATAAAAAAACGATGAGTTCATGTCCTTTGCAGGGATGTGGATGAAGCTGGAAACCATCATTCTCAGCAAAATATCGCAAGGACAGAAAACCAAACACCACATGTTCTCACTCATAAGTGGGAGTTGAACAATGAGAACACATGGACACAGGGAGGGGAACATCACATACCAGAGCCTGTTAGGGGGTGGGGGCTGGGGGAGGGATAGCATTAGGAGAAATACCTAATGTAAATGATGAGTTGATGGGTGCAGCAAACCAACATGGCACATGTATACCTATGTAACAAACCTGTACGTTGTGCACATGTACCCTAGAACATAAAGTATAATATATAAAAAATGACATACTTCCATTATTAAGGGCTTTTCTTCCCTGGCACTTACTTACTTTTCAGTACTACGAAATACTCCGGGCTCACCTTGCATAATTTCTGTCCAGTCATAAAATCAGCAGCTTCTCCAAAGAGTTCTTGTTCCCTTTACCAGAGAACTGTATTAGAAAAACAGATCTCTAGGTTAGATATGCTCATTGTTACTGTAGTATTGATGCATCTATACCTCTCAGCTATCAGAGCATGGACATATATGTTTGTATTCTAAACTCTGTGTATGCACATATCCATAAATATTTCTATATAATCATATGTAGTTATATGAATCCAAATATAACTTCATACAGATATTTCCAACCACGATCCATAACCACATGGATTACTGCAGGCTCTTCTATTTGTTAACCAGCAACCTCCCACTCCGACAGTAAGAAATCTAGCTTCCACCATTGGCCATGTATTTATATAATTGTTTGTTTTGAGCATATCTATATCTATATCTATATCTATATCTATATATAAAGAAATAATACCACATTTTTTAGCCCATACTCTCATGATAAACAGTTTTATCAACTACAGCCTAGTGTTTATGTAGTTTCTTTTGCCTTTAGTGTATTTTAAAAGTATTTTTATTATAGTAAGAACACAACACACGATCTACCCTCTTAAAAGATTTTGAAATGTACAGTGAAAAGTATTGCTACCTATAAGCATGCTGCTGTACAGCAGATCTCCAGAACTTACTCATCTTGCATAACTGAAATTTTATACTCCTTGTCTCCACTCATTTCCAAAGTTACTTACGTAACTTTATATAAAAAGATATTATACCTTTATATAAAAGCGTGCCATATCCTTTCACCCAACATTTATCAGTGAAGTTGCTTCATGTGTTTATACTATATTTAGATTGCTTTGTCATGTTATACATTCCGTCCAAGTATTCCATGACCTTCTCAATGATTTTTAAATTTGCATACATTAAAGTTCACTCCTTGTCCTAAGTTCCATGAGTTTTCACAAATGCACAGCTTCATACATCAACCCTTAGTAAATCATACAGATGCGTTTCACCTAACATGTCTTTTGTGCTTCACCTATTTAATCCCATCTCCTGCTCTCAAACCCATGGGAACCAGTAATTTTCTTTAACCATTATTATAGTTTTGCTTCTTCCAGAATGCCATACAATTGAGAGCACAAAAATGTACCCTTTTTAGACTGGCTTTATTCACGTTTTTGTGCAGGTTTTTGTGTATTTGTGTTTTCAAGTAAGTTGGATAAATACCTGGCAGCATAATTGCTAGATCATAAGTTAAGATCACGTTTTACTTTATAAAAAATTGTCAAACTATTTTGCAAAGTAGCTTTAGCCTTTTGCAGTCCCACCAACAAAGATATGAGCCCCTGTTGTTCCCCATCCTCTGCAGTAGTAGGTAATGTCAGGATTATTTGGATTTTAGCCACTCTAGTAAGTGTGAAGTGGTGTCTCGTTGTTGTTTTTCTAATCTTTAATGTGTGTGGGTACATAGTAGGTGTGTATGTGGGGTACATGAGATGTTTTGATACAGGTATGCAATGTATAATAATCACATCAGGGTAAATTGGATATTCATTTTCCCTCAAGCGTTTATCCTTTGTGTTACAAGCAATCTAATTATACTTTTTTGTTGTTTTTTAACAATGTACAATTAAATTATTATTGACAATAGTGACCCTATTTTGCTGTCAAATACTAGGTTCTTATTTGTTCTTTCTAATTTTGTGTGTGTACCCATTAACCATTTCCACCTCTCCCTGACCCTCGTAACTTTCCCAGCTTCTGGTAACCATTCTTTTTCTCTCTATCTCCATGAGTTCAGCTGTTTTGACTTTTAGATCCCACAAATAATGAGAATCATTAACTTGCAGTTCTTTAATGAGAAATTATGCTTATTTTCCATCTGCACATCTTCTTTGATGCGGTGTCTGTTCAGAGCTTTTACCCATTTTAATTGGTTTCTTATTGTTGATTGTTAATAGTTCTTTGCATATTTTGGATATATGTCCTTTATCAAATATGGTTTTGCAAGTAACTTGTCCTAGTCTGTGGTTTGTCTTTTCAGTCTCTTAACAGTGTCTTTCACAGAGCTAAATTTTCCAATTTTAATAAAGTTTATCTTACTACTTTCTGTTTTTATGGATTATGCTTTTGGGTATTGTATGTAAGACTCAACACCAAATGGAGATTCTTTGGACTTTCTCCTATGTTTACTTCTAGAAGATTTATAATTTTGCATTTTACATTTAGATCTATGGTTCATTTTTATTTCTTTTATCTGAAAGTTATAGTCTACATCTAGGTTCCATGTTTTCCAATGGTTACCCAATTTTTCCATCAAAATTTGTTGAAACAATTATTATTTTTATATTCGATTGCATTTGTTCCTTAGTCATACATTAGTTGATTATTTTCGTGTGGGTCTACTTCTGGGTTTTCCATTCTATTTCATTGATAAAGTGTATTATTTTCCCAATTTCCTAACACTACACCATTTTGATTACTATAATTTTATGGTAAGCCTTGAAATAGGAGAGATAGTGTAAGTCTTCCAACTTTCTTCTTTTTCTTCTCCCTTTTCTTCATCTCCTTTTCTTTTCTTTTCCTTTTTTGTTTTTTGTGTTTTTTTTGACAGAATATTGCTCTGTCACCCAGGCTGGAGTGCAATGGTACGATCTCAGCTCACTGCAACCTCTGCCTCCTGGGTTCAAGCAATTCTCCTGCCTCAGCCTTCCAAGTAGCTGGAATTGCAGGTGCACACCACCACGCCTGGCCAATTTTTGAATTTTTAGTAGAGATGGGGTTTTGCCATGTTTCCCAGGCTGGTCTCAAACTCCTGACCTCAAGTGATCCACCAACCTTGGCTTCCCAAAGTGTTGGGATTACAGGTGTGAGCCACCGTGCCCGGCCTGCATCTCCTTTTTTGTATCCTTTTTCTTCTCCTTCCTCCCTTTTTGTGAACAGAATTCTTTATATAAATAAACATTGTAGGGCCTCCACCTTCCAAAATGTTCTTAAAATGGCCTAGGAAGATAAGAAGGACACTGTTCATGGAAGAGCAGGAAGAAGGTTCAAAAAATAATAACAATAGAGATTCATGAAAGGGCATTGCAGATATAAAGATAAATCAATGGTCAAAGGAAGGGGAATGTAATTATGTGCATTAGTATATTCACAAATTGATTGATATGGTTCTCCAAAATATTTGCTTCTTTTCTGTTTAGACTACATAGGAATTCATCTTAAATGAGATGCACCACATGCTAAGGACTATTATTTATCTGTGTTATCTCATGTAATCATTAAACCAATCCTACTATGTACATATTAATATTCCTTACTTGAAGATAATGCACTGGGGATCAGAGGGGTTATGAAACTTACCCGACATTCTAGAAAGTGCACAAAACCAAGATTCAAAGCTTTGTTTGGCTAACTCCTTTCATGGTATATTTGGGTAATGTTTCCACTTTAATATTGAATGTAGGGAATCCATGGCCCAGAGCTATTTGAGTATGCTTAGCAATGACTTTTTGTTCCACATAATAATAACTAAATGACTTTGGCCAATTACTGTGGGTACAGAGTGACTGCCTGTAGGTGGCTACAGGAAACAAATAGACCACCCAAGTTAGTATAATTGGAGGAAAGTTTAATCAAGGGACTATTTATAAAGTTATGCATGGAGAGCAGAGAACCCCTGCCCCCCCCACCCAAAAAAAAAACAGAACAGAAACCTAGAATTAGTGAAAACAGTGATTTACCTACTGCTAGACCTAAAGAATTGAGGGAGAGAGTGGTTTCTAAAACCTGGAAGGTGAGATGTGGAGGTAAGGCTCCCTTAAGAGGAACAGTGACCTTTATATGAGGGACTCTATACACTTTACTGACTTTCTTCCTTCTACTCCTGCCATTGCCCCCTTTTAGCTAAACCAAAACCAAAGCAACATATCAAGGGAAGTTGCTGATGTGGTCCATTTACTCAGCCTCTCAGGGCATAGAGCAGGAAAGAGAAGGAAAGGGACTAGACATGGAACAGCAGATAGAGATCCAGCAGAGCAACCTCTTCTGTTCTAAAAACCAAGCCTAGGCCACGCATGGTGGCTCAAGCCTGCAGTCCTAGCACTTTGGGAGGCTGGGGTAGGAGAATGGCTCGAGCCCAGGAGTTCAAGAGCAGCCTGGGAAAAATGGCAAAACCCATCTCTGCAAAAAAATAGAAAAAATTAGACTGGCATGGTGGCACGTGCCGATATTCTCAGTTACTTGGGAGGCTGAGGTGGGAAGAGCACCTGAGCCCAGAAGGCCGAGACTGCAGTGAGTCATGATTTTGCCATTGCACTACAGTGAACTCAATCCTGGGCAATAGAGTGATACCTTGTGTCACACATACATACCCCAAGCCTAAAGCATTGTGTTACCTAGTTAATCTTCATATCATTCTGAAATGTATTACACACACACACACACACACACACACACACACCTTGGTGCTCCCCCAAATGAAGCTAACATTCCATTTTAAAAGCTGAAGATTTATATAAACGGTAAATATATTCCCTAGAGAGAACTCAATTTTCACTTTTAAATAAATCACACTTAGTGTTAATTTATATGTTTAAGAACTCATGTAAAAATAAAACAAAACATTGCCAAAGATTTATATATATTATAAATACATACATATACTTTTTGTGTGTGTGCAAAATTTTAATTATCTTCCTTTTATAATTTCTAGGTGCCCATTTTCTTAAATATATTATAAACATCAAACAACAATTTAACAAGCTGACCATTAAATTTTACCTGACATATGCTAGGTAATTTTCAGGTACAATTTAACATTTCAATTCACTCAACAAACGTATATTAGAAGTTCAACATGTGCCAGACATTATGCTATGTCTTGATTTATTTCATCAAACTAAGTCACTTGGATGGATTCTCTGGAGTTATTTTCCAGGTTTAATGGCAGGGGGAGAGGGAAGGCACTATATTAATTTAGATCTCGTAAAAAAGGATTTGATTGACAAATCCAGTGATAATGTGAATGTGTGTAGATGTCAGGAAATAAAAATAAACAACCATTTTCAAGTTAAAAATAACAAACCCTAATTTAGTCAAGACTTGTTTGTGGGCTTTTTCTAAGGCAGTTCGATAGTTCTGATCCTTGCGTAATTCACAACTCCTTTAGAGAATTTTCTTCTCAGTTGTAAATAAAACAACATATTGAAGTCAGTGAGCTAGCATTGTGTAACATTACAATTTATTTCCACATGAGTTAGTCAAGAAAACATGAGCTACAAAGTAAAAGTAGAAAATATACGTGGAAGTATCTCAATTTATGTTAGTGGCAGACTAGCTTAACTCAGAACATCACTATCTCTAGAAATAGCACCTATCAAATACTAAGTTAAAAAATAAATAAAAAATCAAAACAAAAGCAGAATTTGAAAAAAAATATTTTCCATGCAAATTTTGTGGGAAAAAAAAAAGCCTAAAATCAGAAAGGTATGTAGAATATAGGAGCACCAAAACTACATGTATTCTAAATTACTCATCACGAATACATGTTTTGCAGTTCCCTGGTCACTCTGAGCCAGAGCCAGAAGTAAGGACCCAATCCCGAACAGGGGTGAGGTTGTAATATCACCTTCCAATATTGATCCAATATTGATCTGGGGTCTTAATGTCTATGTTCTCAGGGTGAGAGGAAGCCGAATCTATAATTCCTTCCTCCTCTCCTTTGGCCACAATATTTATGTCTATTCTGAGAATTCATAGCCTTGTGATCAAGGGACTCTCAAACTTTGAACAAGATTGGATGCAGTACCGTTAACAGTGACCTTACGTGCCCCTAGGTGCTTAGCAGAAACAAATACACAGCCTCTTTATAGAATAACGTATCAATCTGACTTTCCAGGGACACACACAAAAAATAATTTTGAGGGCAATAGCAAGCAACAACTGCTAGGATTGTAGGGAAAAAGACAAAGAACATATGATAAAACTAACGAAATCCAGGCCATCTACACTGTTAACAAAAATAAAATGAAAAAGGAAGTTAAGGCAAAATTCATTACTAGACATAAAGGAAACTGTTATTGATAATGATAAATTGTGAATTAAATTCACAATTTTAATTACTTTTCTTATCTAGTAATATGGCCTCAAAATATACCAACAAAAGCTGACAGAACTGCAAGAAGAAATATGCAAATTTTAATGGGCATATTAAAAAACATGTTGAAAAATCAGTAGAAAACCTTGATAAAATATTACAAATATTATAACATAAATACCATTATTTAAACATTTAAAAAATTGAGTTTTATAGAACATTGCATACAATAACCACCAAATCAACTTTTTTTTTCAAGCATTCACAGAACATTAAAAAGGTTGATCATGTGTTTGGTGATTAAGCAACTCCCCCAAATTTCAAAGTTTGCCCTCCATCAATAGTGCAATCAGTCAGATTTCAAATGTAAAGATAAAACTAACATTGTGTTATGTTTGGCAATTAAGAAATTCATTGCTCAGGCCGGGCGCGGTGGCTTACGCCTGTAATCCCACCACTTTGGGAGGCCGAGGCAGGCAGATCACGAGGTCAGGAGACCGAGACCATCTTGGCTAACACGGGGTGAAATCCTGTCTCTACTAAAAGTACAAAAAATTAGCCGGGCGCGGTGGCTGGCGCCTGTAATCCCAGCTACTCAGGAGGCTGAGGCAGCAGAATGGCGTGAATCCGGGAAGCGGAGCTTGCAGTGAACTGAGGCAGCGCCACTGCAGTCCGGCCTGGGCGAAAGAGCGAGACTCCGTCTGAAAAAAAAAAAAAAAAGAAATTAATTGCTCCATAATTCATGGGTGAAAAGAGAAAATGAAAAAAAATAGTTTATATTTTGACTTGAGTAACAAATAAAACAAAACATTCCAAAACCAATTTTTATCAAAAGCAATACTTAAAGAAAAATTTAAAGCCTTTTATTTATGCTATAAAAAGGAAAGGGAAGAACAGTTTAATGACCTTAGCATTGGAAACAGAAATTTGAGAAAGTATATAGCAAAATAAGTTCATAGAATGTATAAGGGAAGAAATATTAAAGGTAAGAGCAAGAGTAGGAGGAAGAAAAAGCAAAATATACAGCTCATCAATAAGACCCAAATTTGGTTGCTTGCTTAGTTTTTTGAAGGACTAATAATATTTACAATTCTATAATATATCTTACCAAGAACTTAAAATAAGAAGGTCATGAGAAGAAGGCATGGCTACAGATGATGCAGTGAATAAATACTTAATAGAATAATAATTTTAGGTAGATAAATTTGAAAATACAGATGAAATGGACACATTCTATGCATACAGTTCCAAGAAAAAATAGAAATGCTTATACAGTGATACAAAAATTAAGCAACTATAAAAAGATTTTAAATGTTGATACAAAGAAAATTCCAGTCCTACATTTCTTCAATGAAGAATTTTACCAAATATTTAAAAACTAATTTCAACTTTGGATATATTCTTCCATATATTAATAGAAAGAAATATTTCTCAACTTATTTCATGAAGACAGAAAAACTTTTATCCCCAAAATAAATGAGTAATCATGTTCAGCATTATTGATACAAATATATTAAGCAAAATATTAGCGAAGTTACTCCAGTAAAATATAAAATATGTTAATATATCATGACCTAATTAGTTTTTCCCCAAGAAAGACTTGCTTAATGTTAGAAAATCAATGTGATTAATCACATTAAAAGATTAAAGTGATTCACTGTCTAATTAATTTCACAGATGCATACAAAGAAGATTTATAAAACAATTTAATGTTTCTTCCATTTATGAAAAATAGGAGATTGTGTAGCAACTTGGAAGATAAGGGTTTTTTAAATTCTAATAAAGAATATCTACAATAAAACTTAAACATATTTTGTAGAACATGGAAAACTTTCTCTTTGAAATAAGAAAGGAGAAATTTCTCTACTATTACCTCTTACAATAAACTTTGCATTAGAAATCCCTGCCTGTGCAATAAGGCAACAATAAGAGACAAACTGTATGAGAATTAAAAAAAAACAAACACAGCAAATGAAATTTTCTTATTCATATGTGGTATCATGGTGTACATAGAAAAACTATGGTTCCTAAAAAAGAATCAAACTTTAAAACATTTTCAAAGGAGAAATCAGTACAAAATAAAACAAAATTTAAAAGGAACATTTTAATATCACTAAAAATCAAGAAAAAGTTGTAAATCTAATAAAACATGTTTGCAAAACATTTTTCAGGAGACATTTGAAATGACTTAAATAAATAGAAAGATGGTTTATGTTTATAGATTAGAACATTCACTATTATCAATACATCATTTCTGCCTATATTGATTTAGCGATTCTATCAAGGCCAAACAGAACCCTAATCTTACTGTATTGTTTTGTCCTGCTTATTTTCAATTTCAAGAGCCAAGATGCCATTGTATCAAAACACTTGTATAGAACATTGTATCAAAACACTGTTGTATAGTTGTATAGAACAGATCTTATAACTACAAAACTATAAAATTGTGAAAGTGCAATGATAGAACCAGAATAAACAAATAATAAATGGAACTAAAGAGAGAACCCCCAAAATAGGCCTTTCACATTTGATTTCTGAAAAATATAGGAAGTATTAGATATAGTCTGGGTTTTGAATGAATGAATAGATCTAGAATAATTGGGTATTTTTATGTTTAAAAATGCTTCCCTATTTTATATCAAACCACAAAATCAATCAAAAACAGATTAATATCAAAGGGAAAAAGTATAAAGCATTGATAAAGGATTGTGATTTTGATCTTATTAATAGATAATGCTTGATCAAATATATACATGCAATACCATATCCTCTTATTATCTATCTAGATAACTGCCAAATAATATATATGAATGTTTCCATATTTAAATATGTATAAATATATATTAATGTATTCATATATATGAATAGCTCTTAAATATTCATATATATGAATATATCATATATGTTCATAGCTCTGATATATGCACATACTTTTATTTATACATATATATGCATATGCATGTGTACATATGCATATACTTTTATTAATATTAATAAACTTGAAAATATCAAAGAAAATAAGATTTAGAGTTATTTTTAAAATAAATATCTGTATTCTTCAGAAAAATCAAGATTATGTAAGGCAAAGAAAGACTGAGAAAATTTCCATTTTACAAGAGACCAGACTTTTTCTTTCTTTTGCAATGAAGACAGTAGTGGGGCAATTGAAAAAAAACATTAGATTGAAAAAATTAGATAAGGCCTGTGTTTTAGGTGATAATAATTTAAGAATATTAATTTCCTGATTTTAAGTATACTATGATTATGTAGGATAATTTCCTTGCTATTAAAAAATAAACTGAATTTCCTACGAATAAAGGGGAATATGTAAGCAACATCTTTCCAAATGATTCAGAAACAAAGTGTATGTATGTACCTATTATCCATTTGTATGTGTTTGGAAAAATGTGTACTTAGGTACTTTGTCCATTTTTAAACCAAATTATTTATCATATATATATTTTGCTATGTAGTTGTATGAGTTATTTATATATTTTCAATATTAACTCCTTTTAGAATCATGGTTTGCAATTTTTTTTGCATTTCATAAGTTGACTTCTCATTTTTATTATTTTTTTTTCTGTGCAAAAGATTTTAGTTTGATGTAGTTCCACCATTTTTTTTAACTGTGTTTTTGACATCATATCCAAAAAATTATTGCCAAAAGCCAGTTCTCAAGAGCTTTTCCCTATATTTTCTTCTAGAAGTTTTATGGTTTAAGATCTGACATTTAGGTTCTAAATCCATTTTTAGTTCACTTTTTTGAGTGGCTTAAGGTAGGAGTCCAGCACTGTTCTTCTGCATATGGATATGCAGTATTACTAACACCATTAATTGAAGAGATTATTCTTTCCTCATTGTGAATTCTTGGCTTTTGCCAATGATTTGTTGACCTTAAATATGTAGGTTTATTCCTGGCTTCCTATTCTGTTCCATGAGTCTACTTTGTTTTTGTTTTCATGTCTGTACCATGCTGTGCTAATTACAATTGTGTTGTAGTTAAACTTGTTTGGGTTGATGGTGTCTCAAAGTTCCATAGACTTTCTTCAATCTAATTCAAACTTTTTTCTTTTTCCCTTTCTGACTTGACAATTTCTTATTACCTGTCTTTGAACTCATTTTTTTCTTCTGTATCACTGAGTCTGCTGTTGAAATAGTCTATTAAATTTTTGAGCTAATAAAATTAATGAGAATAAAATTAATTCTTCAGCTGTAGGTTTCCAAAAATTGTTTGTTGAACTCCTCCTTTTGCTCATGTATTGTTTTTCTAAAGTTGATTAGTTAATTATAGTTCTCTGACAATATCTAAGAGGATTATCTTGAATTTTTTTTCAGTCAAATCATAGATCTCTATTTCTTTAGGGCAGATTATTGGAACTTTATTAGTTTCCTTTGGTGGTGTTCTGTTTTTCCAGTTCCTTCTGATCCCTGTATTCTTCATTTGTGTCCAGGCATTTGAGAAAGTGACCACTTTTTTAAAAACTTCAGAGCCTCTCCTTGTTAAGGAACAACCTTCAACATTCAGCACAGCCTGGGGTTCTAGACAAGCAACCAAGTAATGTCCGTGGGCAGGTGGGACTTGCTGCCAAGACTCTAGTCAGGCAGAGACACTGTACACACTCTTGAGGTCAGGTAAGGCTGCCAGCTGGCCTCTCCAGCCAGTCAGCATAAGTTGAACTTCATAATTGGGCATAATCTCAGGCTGGGCTCTGGAATCATTCATGTTTGAGTAGTGCTACAGGCTAAGTGGTATTTCTGGCTATACTCTGTGCTCAGGTAGTACTGCAGGGTGTATGCTGCAGTCAGGTTAGCAGGCAGGGACATTATCTATGCCCTTTAGTAGCATGGATTTGTTTGCCAGGCTTCTTAGTCAGCTGGGCCTGAAGGCTATGCTCCACAGTTGGTTGGGTTATAGGCCGGGCTCCATAGCCAAGAGAGGCCACAGGCTATACTCCATAGTTGAACTGAGCTGCAGGCTTGCTACCTCCCTAGTCAGGGCTACCTGTTGGGCCCAATTCCCAGGCTAGACCATTGGCTGGCTAACTTAGATAGGACTGCTGAACATTCTCCCTTGCCAGATGGGGCCATCGGGCTAGGCTCCATGTGTGGGCAAAATATCTGGCTGGTCTTTCTGGTTGATTAAGGCAACCGATGGGGATACACACGAGCTAACTAAGAGTTAGCTCTGTACACCTTCTTTGTTCCTAGCTGATCCCAGGTGTTCTAGCCTTACCAATTTCACCAGTGCTCCTTGCAGGATGAGATAAAAATGGTTATCCTGGGAAGTTCCCAATAATGCTATGGAAGTTAGATTTCTGTCTCAGGTTCTCTTTTTCCCATGGAAAACCTGTAGCCTCAGGGTATCCTCCTCAGCGTGGTGCTGTGAAGCCTGGTGAATAAGTGGCACCTTTTCTTGGTTTTTGAGCTCCAAGGGGGTACTTCAGCCTTATCCCTAGCTTCTGGGATTTTCACAGAGGTGTTCTTGACTGTGGATAGCTAGTCAGTAATTTTGTGAAGGGAACTAGAGCTACAGATCTCCAGTTCCATCATTTTGCTTACAACCACAAGATATTTAATTATAAATAGTGACAGAAATTAGGTCAACTATAATTTGCATACAGCAATATGGCAATCAATGAAGTCTTCGAAAATATTTTTTAAATGTTTCAGAAATAGCATAGCTAGGAATTGCTTATACATGATAATTGAACTTGTCAAAATTTCTCAGGTATCTGTATACTTCAGTGTTATTTTGAAATTCAATAGAATTTTTTTTGCCTGTTTTGAAGTCTTATGTACATAGTTTACTTGTTTACTGATGCCACATTAAAAAACTTATATTTATGGCTTCCATTCAAAAGAAGAAATCTGGCTACAGCGAGCTCTCATTTCTCCATGGCAAAAATTGGCTAGTACATATATTCTCCAGCTAGCCAAGGTCCCTGCCTCACTTGTGTATATGACTGTTTCCTTCATGCAGTTCACATGCATTCTTGCCACTTGTAGGAATTTTAGTTTATGATTTCTGCTTAAACCTTTCCATTGCAATCTCATATATAGAAAGAAAGAAAGATATGTTTTGTAGATGTTTTGTAGATGAGGACATTGAGTGCTGAAAGCTGATTTGCCTTGGTCAAGGTTACACAGCTATTAATGACAGATTTAGAGTTTGTGACCAGAATGGTGTGTCTGTGAAGTCTCAGGTTAGTTGCTTCTAAATAAAGCAGGTATATACAGGAAATGTTTTTTCTGTACGCTATGAAGTGATTTTAGAAGGATGTAGTAGCCTGAAGAATTGCAAATAAAGAACATTATTATTTCAACCATTCTCATCTATTCAATAAATGTTTCTTCAGTGTCTATTTCATGTTCAAAATCCTGAAAAATAGAAAATAAACTGTAACTTTTCTTCTTTGTGTGAACATGCAGATTATTATATTTATTTTAAAGCTAGAGATAACTTCTAGTGTAGCAGATAAGGTGGTGGGAAATTTTGGGAAAATATGTAGATAATTATAGGCAAAAGTTCAGCATAATGTCACAGTAAATTTTATAAGGTAAGCTTCATGGAAGTACAAAATAAAAATCTAAATTAAGCCTGAAGTCTCAATAGTAACTCTCTTTCTTTCCCTTCCTCCTGCATCCCTTCTGCATGTAGATTATCCCATGTCTTCTCTTTAACAATAATTTATACATTTTTCTCTAGAACTTCCTATTTTTGATCCATGCACCAAAAGTTTCTGTGATAAAATAATATAAATAAGCCTTAAAGATAAGTAGAATACTTAATGGAGCTATTAGCTACTGACAATTGATTTGATTTAATAAAATATAAGAACTATGTAAAATTTGTAAGACAAAAGTAATCAAAGGAAATTTGGATAAAGGAATAGGTAATTCACGGAAGAGAAAAATTCCAGTTGCAAAATCAACACATGAACAAGTGCTTAATCAGGACACACACACACATACACATACACAGACACACAAATTACATGGGTAAACAAAAAGGCTGTAAATATTGATTGGACTAATATAAGGTGGTATGAACATTTTTATAATACTGGAAAAAGTGTAAACATTGAATATTGGTTCCAAAATGTTGGATAAAAATTTGTCACTGTCTGATAAATGTAATAGGTATATCACTACTACTGAGAAATTCTACCTTTTAGCATATACATGTATACTTACGGCAGCATTGTTTTGTGATAAATAGCTAAAAATAAAGTGAGAACAATATAAATGTCCTGTATAGGGGAAAATTTAATGACATGCAGTTTATTGGGAAAATAAATTTTTAAAAATGATCCTGATTGCTGGCAGCTGGTTGCTCACAGTTAGGAGATGACAGGTCAGCAGTATTTCTGACTGAACATAAAGAGTATGCACAGAATATGAGCAGTGCTACCACAGACACCGTGTAACCATGATGAAACAAGAGGCAGATACGAAATCATCAGTGAAACAAGACGGAACAGACACCATGCAACAACCAAAACAAACAACCAAAAAAAGAGAGACACAAAAAGAAAGAAACACACATACACATAAATGAAAAACAAAAACAGTGAACATCATGGTTTTTGATTAACTGGCTTATCGTTTCTTGGAAATAAATTGTATAAACTCTAGATAAATGAAATATAATGAAAACTCTAGCTGCACATTAATAATCCTTCCTCCTATATAAAAAGTAAAAGGTATCCAATCACTGGATTGTCTCTATTTTTTTAATCAGACCCAATTAAAAACTGGCCATTACTTTTCTAAATCTTCCTTAAAGACCCTTGGCACAAGAGAGGCTAAGGATCCCTTCTAATTATGATTGTAGCTTCACTTATTGACTTTAATCATGACACTTATTACACAATTTTTATTACATTGTTGTGTTTCTATGCCTACTTTTTCTCAAGAACTTGAGTCTCTGAGGAAACAGATCTTGTATTAGTTTGGCACCTTGTGCCCAGCACAAGAACTGAAACGTATATGTTCAAGAAACATTTCATTGGCTCAATGAACAAAAGAATGGATTCATTAATGCATTATTAACCAAATAAACACAATCACCAAAGAACAATCTGCATTTTATTCCATGCATACAATGTTGCATATAAAGGAGATATTATAGATGAGTTAAGGACTAAGTAAAAGTAATCTGGTTTTGTTTTTACATTTCCTTATATCATCTCACATCTCTCCTCTCCATAATCCCACAAAAGGAAAGGTGTGGAGATGAAATATAAAAAGATGAGAGATATTGCAGTTTATTGATTTTCAACCATGCAGCCTCTATTTACAACTTCTGAAGCCCAATTTTGAAAGTTGTATGCACAGTAGTGTATTAATTGTGGGGATTATGAAACCCTGTAGCTTGATGTGTTGAAACAGAAGAGGGTTTTAATTTTAGGAGAACTCTCTCTAGATTTTCATGTAAGATAAAATTTCTTGCATCGACCGTGCACTAATGAAGATCAGAATGTTCTCTTAGTGTGATCAGAGCTACTCCCATGTTGATTACCTCTTAGTGAGCTGAGAGGAAATGGAAAAGCAAAAGCATTGATTTTGAAGAAATTTCTCATCTTGCAAACCACATATTACCCAAATAGATTTAGTCTTAATCTTTTAATAAACTGAAACAGTTAGTGATTTCTGCAAATGGTGTCTCAGCTTAATCTCACAGAAGACTCTACAGTTCTGCAGCGGATTAGAAAAGTCTCCCATCTTTCAATATTTGTCTTTGTTCCTTTCAGTAGCTGAATTTCATTCTTATTATCCTCAATGACAAGGCAATTTCAGATGATGAAATTTCTCATGTGAAACCTACACCTTTCAAATAATAATTCACAACTTCAAATTGGATGTGTGTGTGTGTGTGTGTGTGTGTGTGAGCATGAATGCATACACAGCTACCTGAAAGATGACAGTCTGATTTGTGAACATATAATTCATTTTATAGATTAAAATATTTTAGACATAGGAAATGAAACACCATTGTTTGCAAGAAAAGATTAAACTGACATTATTCTCAGTTTCATAATAAAAGATGAAGTTTCAAAAGTAAAAAATAAATAAATAAATAAAAACTTCACATTCTAATCAATGTGGGTGAGCCAGTAATATTAGGTGGGTATGAAAGGCTAGTGCTCCTTTTTTTTCTGATTCTTGTACCTCACTAGTTCAGATGAGCATTATTTATTGCTTAGACCCTATATATATATATAAAATCTTCCTAATTGATTCCCCTATGAAATTTCACCAGACTATCTAACCATCATATCTTTTCTATTAAGTGGTCTTTCTAAAACCACATTAAAAAAAGACTAAAACAAAGATGAAATTTTCCAGCTAATATCTAAAATATTAAAGTTCTTAACCATGTACAGGCATTGTTATGAATGTCACCATCTATTTTGATTTTGACTATCACGGCTTCGACATAGATATGATTCTCCCCTTTAACAAAGGAGGAATCAGAGATTCACAAAAGTTGGGATTTTTAGAATATAGGCTACAACAAGATTTCTCAGTAGCACCATTATTGGCATTCTAGGTTGGACAGTTCTTTGTTTTGGATACTCTCCTGTGCACTACAGCATCCTTAGCAACTTCACTGACTTTCATCACTCTGTGCTAATAACATGCCCTTACCCCTTGATGTGAAAACCAAAAATGTACCCAGACATTGCAAAATATTCCCTTGCCAAATTCCAAGAATTTCCCCCAGTTGTGAACTACTGGGAGTTTAGATGCAGTGTTTCTTTTATAATAAATTAATTCACAGTTAATGATAAAATAGACACTCCCAAATAGCCATTAATTAATTCATTCTTTGATTCAGGGTTGGGACATGTTTAAGAACTTGGACTCAGTGCTAGCCTGCCTTGGTTTTTACCCCAGCTCTGTCATCCACTGGTTTTATGATCTCTTGTCAATTCTCAACCCCTCTCTGCTTTAGGTGGCTCATCTGATTTTGGGAATGATGAACAACACACTTAACCCATAGGTGTGTTCTGAGTACCAAACTAGGTTTTCTACATAAAGATTTTAGAAATAGTGTTTTTCTGGATTGGTAATCATGGTGATCAAGATAAAATATCTCAAAGTTTTCCATTAAACCGCTTTTTTATCCACCCTTACCCTGGGTTAACCATGTCAAAGAGCAGAGAACCCGTCCAGTGAAGTAACCCCATTGAGATGTCAGAAGATATCAGTAAGTGCCTTCTCTATCACCCTCACCAGAACTCCTGCCAAAAACATATCATCACTACAATGTCTGGTTACCATATAACCTGCCGTAATTACTCCTTTCTCATGACACTCTTCAGCACACTCTTATCACTGGAAGGGTTACCAGAGTTGTTACATTTCCAGCAAATAAGAAACAGGGATCTGCTGTCACATCTTTCCTTGAGAGTCTTGGATAATGTCTTATTCTGCATTGTGAATCATTTTCCACTTGCTTATTTTGTGTGAACACATGTGCTGATTCTATCAGTTTTGGCAGACTTTTTAATCTTTCTAGAACTAATGATCTTCTCTTTACATCTTTATTAAACCCTTCTTACATATTTGGAGTGGCAGTGTACATTTATCTGTAGATTAAATACAGAAATGTCTTAACAGAAAAAAAAGAAGGCCCATATGTACTTATAGTTAAGGGCCATGGAAACCTTATATGATGTTTGCAATTAAACCTAAATGGAAGAGTCAGTATTAGCCAAAAATAAATGAATGAGCCAGTGAGAGAATACCCTGGCAAGAGAAAGCCAACAAAATACTAAGTACATGAGTCCACAGGTAAAAAAGCATGCATACTCAAAACACTGAAGCAAAATCAATGTACATATATCGGTGAAATAAATGAATGTTTTGGCATTTGATATATTGGAAGATCCTAGTTGAAGACATGTCTGATTTACGCACTGATTCACATAAAATAGTCCACTCCCACCTTTCCCACCTCCATTCTTTGTTCTTTCTATGACCAGCTCTGTTTCATCTTTCAGAGGTCAGCTCAAACTGACCTCCCCAGAAAGTTCTTCTCTTAATACTCTGCCCTGATATAACAGTTTCTAATAAGTGTTATGGAGAAAATCTCCCAAGAAGAATTCTTTGTTTGGCTGGGTGTGGTGGCTCATGCTGATAATCCCAGCACTTTGGGAGGCCTGGGTAGGTGGGTCACTTGAGGTCACGAGTTTGAGAACAGCCTGGCCAACATGGTGAAACCCCATCTCTACTAAAAATACAAAAATTAGCTGGATGTGGTGTCACACACCTGTAGTCCCAGATGCTTGGGAGGCTGAGGCACAAGAGTCGCTTGAACGCGGGAGGCGAAGGTTGCAGTGAGCTGAGATCATGCCATTGCACTCTAGCCTGGGCGACAGAGCAAGACTTTGTCTCAAGAAAAATAATAATAATTATTTGCTTAACTTTGTATTGATTGTTTTCTAGCCAATACACACAAATTTCCTGAGAGCAAGGATCTTCTCTGTTTTGTTCACTTTTGCATCCCCAGTGCTTAAAACATTATCTGGCGCACAGTTGGCACTCAAAAAACATTTGTTAAATGAACGAATGAGTGAATGAATGAATGGGTAAAAGTAGCCTTCTGCAATGCCACCCACCAGTTGCATTCCAGCAACCTGAGGCTTTACCAACAACTCAATACCCTGTGATGCTAAGGACATCACTCTGTTCAGAAAGGAGAGAAAAAGAAAACTTCCTTTCAATAAGCCTTCCCCCCAATACCCCTTTATACTGTCTTAGTCAAGAATCTGGCTTTTCCATTCTTATCTAATGCCAAGAATAGGTGTGTGCCAGGCCAAGGTATTGTACATAGGCTTAATTTGGAGTTATCTTCCATTTCTGGAGGCTAAAACAGGAGCACTACACAAATTCATTGACAGCAGGAGATTAGGCCCAAACACACATTTTTAAAAACAGAAATTGTTTATACACTAGATTTACATTAAAATACACACAAGATTTTTCTAAAGATCAGTTGCCATTTTGGAGGTTCAGGGCTGTGTGATTTAATTTTTTAGGTAGCTAACATAAGCAAAATACATATGGAGGGAAGCTCTGTTTTAAACGTGGGCGGGAAGCAAAATTAAGTCCTGTACTACGTACCACATTTTAGCTATACTAATTTGCTCAGTTTCATGGGCCTCATTTTTTTTCTAATTATCATTAGGAGTATAAAATGAGTGCATGTGAAGTACGTTTCTTCATGAGTCCAGATTTCTAAGGGTCTCGTATAGTAATATGTACAATTTAAAATGTATTTCCAATTACAATAGTTTCAAAACTCTATGAATACAGTACAATAATGGATTTTTTTTTCAAGCAAAAACCAGCTAAAGTCTAGCTCATATATTTGCCATTTTCATTTCTGACCCCTTTCTGCAGATGTGGGTCCACGAAGTCATGATTCTGCTGAATTCGTTTTCTATTACACTTCCTAGAACAGTGTTTTGACCACGTCTGATTATATAGCTCAACTGGAGTGGAGGAAATTACCCGATAATTTAGAAAAGAATTCCCTTTCAAAGCCTGCAGGAATCTGCTCTTCAATTTAGAAAGAAATTTACAGAATCAGGTTGTTTGTGTGAGTTGTAAGTATTGTTTAGTGTTTTGACCCAGGGTTGCTTGATATGTCATTCAACCAAATATGATTTTATATCTGCCTCTTTTTCCTCCTCTCTGTGATATGAATTCAGATCAACTCAGAATATCTTCTCTGCCATCAAGTCTTGCACAGTCTTTCTCTCTATAGTGTTATTATACATTTCCAGTAAATGTATTCAAACCAGAACTATAATAAACAAGATTCCCACTTATAACTTTGCTTAAAGTAAGAGATGAGAGCATTTTCTATTTTCATAAGACTGCTTTTTAAAGATATTTCCATTTTTAGAAAAAGAAAGAAAAAAATCACAAATGCATATGTTAACAACCTGTGTTGATTGGAAATGCCCGAAGGTGTTTGTGAAATGGAGCCTTCATGAGATCAATCTTACTTCCTTTTATGTCTTAAACTTCATCTTCATTGCAAATTGCCTAGCCCTTGTGGAAGATTGCTGTTGGGCACACATACGAAGAGGTTAATTACTACCTTATCTCCCACACATTTCTCTATTTCACAGCATCTAGGCTTTTTCTCTGTTACTCAGTGGGGATGCATTAGATTTTGTCCTTCAATTGCTGAAAAGGATTCTGGCTCTATACAGAACTTGGAATAGACCTTCCACACAGCATCATCACACTTTCTGCTTTTGCCATGCTCCCAAGATCAACCTTTTAACATGAAATGCTAGGCACTCTATGTTCACCAATAACTACAATATGCAATTCTGTCTAGTGAGATCAGGTTGGTACATTGGCAAAATAAAACATCAAACTGCAATGTCAGGAATGGTCACTCGGCACAGCAGACAGGGAAGAGTGTGGAAAAGGAGATGACTGACTCTTCCTGAAAGGCTTAGGATATACGAGACTGGACTTTGAAAGGAGGCAAAGGGAGGAAGGACATTTTGCAAGGAGGGCATAAAATATGTGAAGCCATGATAACCTCAGAAATATAAGATTTAGTTGGAAATATGAAAACGTATATAATATTTTAGCATCTCAGGGCTCAGGTGGGGGAATGAGAGTATCACATTTGAGAGCAAGGATCAAAACATAGGGATATGTCATAAAATTTTCAGATCTTATCAATCCATATTCACAGAGTAGACCAGAAAAAAATCTTAATAACTATTTATTTCTGTAATAGAAAGAATACAGGGCTTGAAATCAGAAGTCCTGTGTTCTCACCTGCCCACTGAGTTATTTTGGGCAAACCGTCTTCTCTTTGGCCTTAATTTCCTCAACCGAGCAATCAGGACAACATAATCATTAATATCCTAAGTCTTTTTGTAAATTGTATGCAAGTTGAAAGAGTTTTGAAATTTAAAAAATTCCATTCAAATGAATGTTCCTTCATATTACTCATCTACTCTTGAATATTTGACTGCTTACCACGTATAAGGCATGGAGCTACGCATGGCCAATTTATCAGTAAGCAAGACAAGCAGATAGGACTCCTTGTTTTCGAAGCTCAAGATTCTCTTTACTGTCACCTGTAATCTGAGACCTGTAAAAGACAGAGGGAGAAAGTGTTTCAGGCAGAAGAATCAGAAAATATAAAGACCCAAAAGCAGAAATGACATTGGTATAACACACACACACATACGCATCCGCACACACATGTACAGAAGATGAGAGGGGCTGCAGTGCCCTTCAACTGTTGAGTCCCTTGGGAAAGGACTGAAGCAGTGGAAATTTTATATCCAACTCTTATAATTGCAGCTATAGGACATATGGGCCATGAGGCCAGCGGTGTAGGTGCCATGGCTTTAACCTTTGACACCCTCTCACTAAAACAGAAGAAAAAGTTTGTGTTGCTAGGATACCTCCGCATTCTAGATTCTGCAATGCCTTGAGCCTTTGACTCTTGAGTTTTATGTCTTATTTCATCTGTGAAGGTTCTCAGATGAAAGGAGGGTGTCAGGAAGCCCTGCATTGGCATCTTGCTTTGCAAGATACAGATTGACTTCTCTTATTGCTTCTCTCACTTACGAATTCTCCTTTCCTTTCTTCTACTTGGTTGCAGAAGTTCTTTATACAAATGTCATATTGGGTGAACAATGGCAAATGTGTGCTAAGTTAAGTGCCAGTTCTGCCCCATTGTGGCAGCTGCCTAGAAAACTGTGTGAAGAAACATTCTAAGCTAAGGTAAAGGGCACATCAGGCAGTGGGAGAGAAAACTAGTCAACATCTTTATTGAATTAGGTCAGTAACAAAGTGGCAAACTTGGGCTAGATCTTTCTTAAGGAAATCTGCTTTATTACCCCTTTTAAGATTAAAATCACAATCAGATTGCTATGTTCTTGAACATATTTCATTTTCAATATATTTTGTTAGGTGCCAGATAAAAGAAAACTTATCATAGTTGCCTTAAGTAACAAACATTACTGCCAAGAGTGTGGCCTAAATGACCACAGGTATTAATATTATTGCTTATGGTAGTTTTTTCCCTTAATAATAATTTCACATAGCCCACCACTGATATTCTCAGCTTCTTGGACATTAAGCAAATGACTTAACATTTCCTAGCCTGCATTCTTAGCTGTATTATGGGGGTAATAATAGAGCTTACCTCCTACATTTGTGAAAATTCAATGAGAAAATTCCCTTAATATACTTGCAATAAGACTAACACTTAAAAATTCCTTAGTAATTTATTAATAAAATTTAAATATAGTGATGATAATCATATCTCCTATGCTTGTGAAATTAATTCTCCCCAATTTCAACCCCAAAAAGGAGAAACTAGCCAATTCCTAAATCTAATCTCATAAAATAGGGTAATCACATATTTGAGACTTGTTTATTTACTCCAAAACCCACTGGACTTCTCCACCCAGCTGTCATTAGAAGAAGTTAATTAACAAGACATTCATGATTTCTGCCACTCTCTGTCCCTGTTTTCTTTTAATCCAAGTTTGGCTTCCATTACATCTCCTTCCTATTTTGTGTATGTGCTACTTTTTCTCAACTGTAGTAGATGAAACTAAGAGTTAAATCATTCAGAATTAATCTTTATAAGAAAGAAAAAATAATAAAATAAAATATAATTTACAAGATAGCTTAACTTTGTGGAAATATAGGTAAATCTAATCTGAATTGAAAGAGTATTTATAAAACGGACAAATTAGTTTAATGTATAAGTTACTAATTTATTATCTAGGTATCAATTGTTGTATTTCCATGTTTTGACAGGGTCTAGATCAGTGCTGTACAATACAAATAATAGACCAAGATACATACATAATTTAACTATTTTAGTAGCCTCAGTAAAAAAGTAAAAAGAAACCTATGTAGTTGTAACAATATATTGTGTTTAATGAAGTATATGGAATATATGATTCTTTTCAACATGTTGTCATTAGATAATGTATTCATGAAATATTTTAGGTTCTTTATATATTAGGCCTTGAATATGCAGTTCTGCCTTTTATACTGTTAGCATATCTCAATTAAGATGCTGCATCTTCATCAAAGAAACTTAATCTGTACTTAGATTTTCTAAGATTTGCAGCTGAAGAAGTAAATCCGTATGCCCTAGTGTTCCAAACATATTTTAAATTTTTCAGTAGCTGAATAGAGTGCCCCCAAATAATTTTCTTTGGATATTCACATTGACAAAACTAAATCAGCATTTTAAGAAGAACTGATATGACTTTGAAGCAAAAACCAATTAATTTCAAAACTATATATTCCTAGTTAAGTAAATTGACGAAATCTTGGGTCAACTCATTATTTTAAACATCAAATTAAAAGAAGTGTTAAATAAATTGAAAAGCAATACTACATATATCAATATCAAAAAGTATTCATCATTTTCTCTTGTAGCTTTATAGTCAATTTACATGATGCCATTGTTTACAAATACAGTCTTCTGCGCTGATTCTCATTACACAGTGTAGTAAATCATAGCCAATTATCTGTTTTATGAAGAGTTTCAAGTCTAACATAAAGTCTCTTCCATAGCAAAATCATGAATAAGTTTACTTTTTCCTTGGAGCTTCACATTTATCTCTTTAATATTCAGCTTAATGTCAACAAGAAAACATAAAATAGGCTGTTGTTTTTATCTTTGATTATTGAAGATTTGGCAAACATTCTTCTATTTCAAGAAAATTTTGAATTAAAATTAACAGTACAGTAGATCTTTGTGAATTGCTTGACTTCTCAACCAATGACATAGCAAAGAACATGAGACCATTTAATTATCTTTTTATAAGCATTTCTGAAATATTTACATAAATATATCAATGATATTTTTCAGAAAACTAAATTTACTTTTTTTTTTTTTCTGGAGACAAGAGTCTCACTCTATCACCCAGGACAGAGTGCAGTGGCACAGTCTGGGCTCACTGCAACCTCCCCATCCTGGGTTCAAGTGATTCTCATGCCTCAGCCTCCCAAGTAGATGGAATTACAAGCATGCACCACCAAGCCTGACTAATTTTTGTATTTTTTGTAGAGACGGGGTTTCACCATGTTGGCCAGGCTGGTCTCGAACTCCTGGCCTCAAGTGATCCACCCGCCTCAGCCTTCCAAAGTGCTGGAATTACAGGAATGAGCCTCCGCACCCAGCCTCTAAATTTACTGTTGAGTGACACAAGGTGAACATCAGTCTCTTGCTTTAAATTATAATAACTTTAATTTTTAACTTAGCATAGTTGGAGCATCATTCATCTTCATAGAAACTTTGGAAAATAATTGAAATTATTTTTCAGATGCAAACATTTCAAATGTATGTGTGTCATGAGTTCAAATTTTTAGGCCATGAATTGACTTTTTTTTGAATTTGGAAGTCTTTTGATTAAAATGTACTCAGATATTAATTAGGCAGTATCTCTTATAGCAAGACCAAGTTAAACTAATTTTGAGTCAAGTGATAATTGATATTGTTAGAAATATTTTACTTTTTACAGGCAATTATTTGCTGGCTTAATCGAGGATTCGTCATTTTAAGTGAAACTTTTAAATGTTTTCATTGTAAGAAAATTTCAAAATAATTATTGCTTTTGCCATCTGTCTATCAAAAAATGATTTTCTTTTTTCGTGTACAAACCCAACCATTTTTACGTCTGGTCAATATTACAAGGCCATATCATTTTATAAGTCATTATGATTTTTGTCATTATTGGACATTTATTTATGATTTTAAGCAAACAAATTTGTCAATTCTATTCTGACTCTTGAGAGAAACAATTTTTAAATTTTATCTAGTTTATTCTCGTAATTTTTTAACATTACAAACAAATGGTGTCTTCACTCTGCCACAGTAAATTGTATTTGCTATCCAATGTGATTTTTTTGTATATACCTATTTCTCATTTCATTTTTTTCTTCAGTCTTCTACATAGATGATATGGTTTGGCTGGGTCCCAACCAAATCTCATCTTGAATTGTAGCTCCCTAATCCCCACATGTTGTGGGAGGGACCTAGTGGGAGGTAACTGAATCATGAGTGCAGGTTTTTCCCATGCTGTTCTTGTGAGAATAAATAAGTCTCATGAGATCTGATGGTTTTGTAAAGGGCAGCTCCCCTGCACATGCTCTCTTGCCTGCCACCATGTAAGACATGCCTTTACTCCTCTTTCGCCTTCTGCCATGATTGTGAGGCCTCCCCAGCCATGTGGAACTGTGAGTCCATTAAACCTCTTTTTTAAAAAAAATGACCCAGTCTCAGGCATTTCTTCATAGCAGTATGAAAATGGATGAATACAACATATCACAGCTACTCTGCTGCATTTCCACTCAATTATGCATCATGGATATGCTTTTGCTTTAATCTAAAAATGTGTTCATGCTTTTATGCTGGAAACATTTACTTTATATTAAAATAATAAGTACCCCAATATAATTACCAGTTACTATTGCATTGGTGCCACCATAACTCCTGTTTTCTTCATAAACTGTTCAAATAAACGTGTTCCAACACATTAGAGACATACCTACAAAAGGTCATTTAAACTGAAGCAATCTATTAACATTGTCTAGATTAGTGATGGGTTTTTTTTTTTTTTTTTGAGACGGAGTCTCACTCTGTTGCCCAGGCTGGAGTGCAGTGGCACAATCTCAGCTCACTGCAACCTCCACCTCCCAGATTCAAGCTATTCTCCTGCCTCAGCCTCCCAAGTAGCTGGGACTACAGGCACTTGCCACCACACCTGGCTAATTTTTTATTTTTTAGTAGAGTCGGGGTTTCACCATGTTGGTCAGGCTGGTCTCAAACTCCTGACTTCATGATCCACCCGCCTCGGCCTCCTAAAGTGCTGGGATTATAGACGTGAGGCACCATTCCCAGCCAGTGATGTGTTTTACATAATATTTCAAGTAACACACATGTGTATCATGCATACCACATGGAACAATATCTTTTGTAACATATATACATCAAATAAAGTCAAATGCACACCTGAGGGAGCAAGAAAGATACGTTCAATGGAAAAATAAATCATGCTGCTTCCTTTTTTAATGTAAATGTAAATTAATTGAAATGAAAGCAAAATAAGAAATGCAGTTCCTCAGACACATAGCCATATTTCCTGTGTTTGACAATCATATGTGGTTAGTGGCTACTTTCCTGGTTATTCCAGGTCAAGATCCTGTCATAGCTAGACAACAAGGACTTAATAGAGTGGCCATAGGTGATTAGTATCAAGTATATACTTACAAATATTTATAATTATCAAATATTTGCTTTAAACATGCTTTGCTGTGACAAGTGGTTGTAGCCATTTGTTATTTTAATATTTTAATTTTTAAATAAATATATGATATACGTGTGCAGTTTTGCTGCATGCATAGATTGCACAGTGGAAGTCAGGGCCTTCAGGGTATCCATCACCCAAATAGTGTACATTGTATCTATTAAGTAATTTCTCCTCATTGACCCCCTCTCCAAACACCTCCCTTCTCAGTCTCCACGGTCTATGTCCATTCTCTATGTCTGTGTGCACATTATTTAGCTCCCACTTTTATGTGACAACATGAAGTATTTTTCTTTCTGCATCTGACTTGTTTCACTTAAGATAATTGCCTCCAGTTCCACCCATGTTACTGCAAAATACATGGCTTCATTCTCTTTTATGACTGGATAGTGTTCCATTGTATATATGCCGCATTTTCTGTATCCAGTCATCCTTTGATGGACACTTCAGTTGACTTCATGTTTTTGCTATTGAGAATATTCAGATTGTAACCACTTAGACTGAAAGAAAATCTCCACTGTATCATGTTGGAAGAGATAACAGAGAAGCAAATGCATACCTTTAGTTGATTTTGCCAACCTGAGTGCTCTCAGAGTCATTGTCAATTAGGACAGGTAAAAGTTAAAAAAGAACATCCAAAAATGTGGGGGTAGCTGTGGGTGGAATCTCTGTGAGGTAACCTCTCCAGCTTAATTCAGATCTATGATTAAATGTCATCACCTTAGGAATATTCTCTCTTATTACTTCTGTCACCCATTTCCCTTACGTGGTTTAGTCATCTCTGTATCAACAGTCTAGAAGTTTTTAATATATATATATGTGATTTTTCTTACCTTCATTCCCATAAAAAATAACTCCATGGAAACTGAGAGCTGGGGCACTTGTCCCTTTTAAAATTTTCTTTCCAACTTTTATTTCAGGCTCAGAGGTACATGTGGAGGCTTGTTACATGTGTAAATTGCATGTTGTAGGGATTTGTTGTACAGATTATTCTGTCACCCTGGTGATGAGTATAGTATCCAGTAGGTACTTTTTTGATCCTTACTCGTCCCCCACCCTCCACCCTCAAGTAGGCCACAGTGTCTATGATGTCTTTCTTAGTGTCCACTTGTACTCAATGTTTAGCTCCCATTTATAAATGAGAACATGCAGTATTTGATTTTCAGTTCCCACATTAGTTCATTCAGGATAAATGACCTCTAGCTCTATCCACATTGCTGCAAAGGACATGATTTCATTCTCTTTTTTATGGCCATGTAGTGTTTCATATGATATGTACCACATTTCTTTATTCAGTTAACCATTGTTGGGCATCTCGTTAGATTCCATATCTTTGTTATTGTGAATAGTGCTATGATACACGTACAGTTGTATGTGTCTTTATGGTAGAACAATTTATATTCATTTGGGTATGTACCCAGTAATGGGATTGTTGGGTCAAATGGTAGTTCCGCGTTTTTTTGAGAAATCTCCAAACTGCTTTCCACAGTGGCTGAACTAATTTGCATTCCCACCATCAGTGTATAAGTATCCTCTTTTCTCTGCAACCTCACAAACATCTGTTGTTTTTTTGACCTTTTAATAATAGCCATTCTGACTGATGTGAGATGGTATCTCATTTGTGGGTTGATTTGCATTTTCTTAATGACTACTGATATGAGCACTTTTCCATGTGCTTGTTGGCCACATGTATGCCTTCTTTTGAGAAGCAATTGCCGATATACTTTGCCTGTTTTAAATTGAGTTGTTTTTGCTTGTTGATTTATTTAAGTTCCTTATAGATTCTGTATACTAGACCTTTGTCGAACATTTGAAAATATTTTTTTCCCATTCTATAGGTTGTCTGTTTGCTCTGTTAATAGTTTCTTTGGCTGTGCAGTAGGTCCTTAGTTTAATTAGGTCTCATTTGTCTATTTTTGTTGTTTTGCAATTGCTTTTGGAATTTTCATCATGAAATCTTTACGAGGGCCTATCTCCAGAATATTTGCTAGGTTTTTTTTTCCTAGAGTTTTTACAATTTTGGGTTTTATGTTTAAGTCTTTAATTCATCATGGGTTGATTTTTGTGTATGGTGAAAGGAAGGGGTCCAGTTATAATCCTCTGTATATGGTTAGCCAGTTATCCTAGCATCATTTATTGAATAGGAAATCCTTTTCTTATTGCTTGCTTTTATCAACTTTGTCAAAGATCAGATGGTTGTAGATTTGTGGGACTTTATATCTGGGTTCTCTAACGTGTTGCATCAGTCTATGGTTCTGTTTTTGTACCAATACCATACTGTTTTGGTTACTATAGCTTTGTAGTATAGTTTGAAGTCAGTTAGTGTGATGCCTCCAGCTTTGTTCTTTTTGATTAGAATTGCTTTGGCTATTTGGGCTCTTTTTAGGTTCCATATGAATTTTAGAATAGTTTTTTTCTAGTTCTGTGAAAAATGACATTGGTAATTTGACAGGAATAGCATTAAATCTGTACATTGCTTTGGGATGTATGACCATTTTTAATTCCTATTCATGAGTATGGAATGTTTTCCCATTTTTGTTGTCTTTGATTTGTTTCAGTAGTGTTTTGCAAATCTCATTGAAGATATATTTCACTTCCCGGTTTAGCTGCATTCCTAGGTATTTTATTCTTTTTGTGGATATTGCAAATTGGATTGCATTCTTGATTTGGCTTTCAGATTGAACATTATTGTTGTATGGAAATGCTACCAATTTTCCTACACTGATTTTATATCCTAAAACTTTTCTGAAATTGTGTATCAGATCTATATGTCTTTGGGCAGAGACTATGGAGTTTTCTAGGCATAGAACCATACCATGTGTGAAGGGAGATAGACTGACTTCTTCTCTTCCTACTTGGATGCCACTTATTTATTTCTCCTGCCTGATTGCTTTGGCTAGGACTTCAAGTACTATGTCGAATAGTAGTGGTGAGAGTGGGCATCCTTCTCTTGTTCTTGTTCTCAAGGGGAATGCTTCCAGCTTTTGCCCATTCAGTGTGATGTTGGTTGTGGGTTTGTCGTAGATGGCTGTTAATATTTTGAGATATGTTCCTTCAATGTCTAGTTTGTTGGGGATTTTGAACATGAAGGGATGTTGAATTTTTTCAAAAGTCTTCTCTGCATCTACTGAGATGATTATGTGGCTTTTGTCTTTAGTTCCGTTTAGGTGATGAATCACATTTATTGATTTGTGTATATCGAACCTTGTGTCCCAGGAATAAAGGCTATTTAACTGTGGTGAATTTGTTTTTTGATTTAGTGCTGGATTTGGTTTGCTAGTATTTTGTTGAGAATTTTTACATCTATGTTCATTAGAGATTACCAGCCTGGTTTTTTGTTCATTGTGTCTCTGCCAGGATTTGGTGTCAGAATGATGCTAGCCTCATAGAATCGGTAAGGGAGGAGTCCCTCCTCCTAAAATTTTTAGAATACTTTCAGTGAGATTGTTATCAGCTATTCATTTTACAACGAGTAGAATTTGGTTGTGAATCCGTCTGAACCAGTGCTGTTTCTCCTTAGTAGGCTTTTTATTAATTATTCAATTTTGAAATTCCTTATGGGTCTGTTCAGGGTTTCAATTTCTTCCTGGTTTAATCTAGAGAAGTTGTATGTTTCCAGGAATTTATTCATTTCTTCACGTTTTCTGGTTTGTATGGATAGAGGTGTTTGTAATAGTCTCTGAGACTTCTTTTTGTATTTCTGTAGGGTCAGTGGTAATGTCCTCTTTCATTTCTGATACTGCGTATTTGAATCTTTTTTATTTTTTTCTTAATTAGTCTAGCTAGCACTCTATTAATCTTATTTATTCTTTCAAGTAGAAAACATTTAGTTTTGGTGATCTTTTGAATGGGTTTTTGTGTCTCAATTTTATTGAGTTCAGCTCTGACTTTGGTTATTTCTTTTCTTCTGCTAGATTTGAGATGGGTTTGCTCTGGTTTTTGAGCTCCTCTAGGTATAGTGTTCTATTGTTAATTTGAAATCTTTCTAACTTTGTGATATAGCCATTTAGCATTATAAACTTTTCACTGCTTTAGCTAGGTCCCAGAGATTATGGTATGTTTTATCTGTGTTTGCTTCATTTCAAAGAAATTCTTGATGTCTGCCTTAATTTCATTTTTTACCCAAAAGTCATACAGGAATAGGTGGTTTAATTTCCATTTAATTGTGAAATTTCAAGGAATCTTCTTGGTATTAATTGCCATTTTTATTGAGCTATTTTCATTTATTTTTATTATTTTATCTGAGAGTGTGATCGGTGTGCTTTTTGTTTTCTTGTATTTGTTGAGAATCTCTTTATGGCTAAGTGTGTGGTTGATTTTAGAGTATGTACCATGTGCAAACAAGAAGAATATGTGTTCTGTTGATGTTGGGTGCAGTATTCTGTAGATGTCTTTTAGGCTCATTTGGTAAAATGTCAAGTTTATGTCCCAAATATTTTTCTAAGTTTTTTGCTTCAATGATTTGTCTAATACTGTTAGCAAGATATTGAAGTCTCCCACTATTGTTGTGTGGTTATCTAAGTCTCTTCATAGGTATTGAAAGCTTACTTTATAAATCTGTGTGCTCCCATGTTGGGTCCATATATATTCAAGATAGTTAAGTCTTCTTATTGAATTGAACACATTAATATTATTTAATACCCTTCTTTGTTCTTTGGATGATTGTTCATTTAAAGTCTGTTTTGTCTGAAATTAGAATAGCCACCCCTGCTCTTTTTTGTTTTTTGTTTCCTTGATAGGTTTTTCCCTATACCTTTACTTTGAGCTTCTGTGTGTTGTCAGCTGGTTGTTATGTAGACTTTACTGTATAGGGGCTTTATGGCATCAATGACCTATGTACTTAAGTGTATTTTTTTTGGTGGCCAGAAACGGTCTTTCATTTCTATGTTTACCACTCCCTTAAGGACCTCTTATGTGGTAGGTCTGGTGGTAATAAATTTGTTTAACATTTGCTTATCTGAAAATAATTTATTTTCAGATAAGCAAATTTATTTCTCCTTTTTTTATTAAACGTAGTTTGGCTGGATATTACGTTTTTGATTGGAGTTTCTATTCGAGAATGCTGATGACAGGCTCCTAATCTCTCCTGTCTTGTAGGGTTTCTGTTGAAAGTTTCACTCCTAGCCTGATGGAGTTCCCTTTGTAGGTGACCTGCCTCTTCTCTCTAGCTGCCTTTAATATTTTTTCTTTCACATTCACTTAGAGAATCTGATGACTATGTGTCATGGGGATGGTCATCTTGTATAGTATCACTGAGTGGTTCTCTGAATTTCCTGCATTTGAGTGTCAACCTCTCTTGCTAGATTGGAAAATTTTTTGTGGACAATATGCTCAAATATGTTTTCAAATTTGCTTGCTCTCTCTTGCTCTCTATTAGGGATGTCAATGAATCATAGGTTTGGTCTCTTTATATAATCCCATATATTCATGGATGTCTATTAATTCTTTTTTATCTTTTTTTTCCATTATTTTTGTGTGGCTGTGTCAATTCAAAGAACCAGCCTTCAAGCTCTGAGATTCTTTCCTCAGCTTGGTCTATTAATACTTATGATTGTATTATAAAATGTTTGTAGTGAGATTTTTTTTTAAGCTCTATCAGATCAATTTGTTTCTTTCTTAAAATGTCTACTTCTTTCAGCTCTTGTATCATTTTACTGGATTCCTTATATTCCTTGGATTGGGTTTCAACTTTCTCCTGAATCCTGATGACAGTCATCGTCATCCAGGTTCTGAATTCTATGTGTGTCATTTCAGGCATTCCAGCCTAGTTAAGAACCGTTGCTGGGGAGCTAGTGCAGTCATTTGGAGGTAAGAAGACACTCTGGCTTTTTGAGTTGCTAGAGTTCGTGCATGAGCTCTTTCTCATCTGTGTGGGCTAATGTTCCTTTAACCTTTGAAGTATCTGTTCTTTGAATGGGACTTTTTGATTTTATATTCTTTGATGCCCTTGAGGGTTTAAGTGTGGTGTAAGTTGGGTGTATTCAGTCAGTTTCATTTCTGGTCAATTTCAGGGGCCTAAGGCTCAGCTCAGAATTTCTGAACTGCATGATCTTACCCTGAGTGGCTGGGATCAGGCCCACAGATTCATTCTCTGGCCCCTAAAGTTAAGCACCTGCTATGCTAGAGGAGCCAAGGTGGTCCTGGTTTGCTGGCAACAACACTTCAATGGGGGAGTGCCAGCAAAACCTTTTTGTCAGGGCTGTGGCCATGGGGTCTGCACATATACACACACACGGGCCAGTAGTGGTAGGGTGGCAGCACACTGGGATCTACGTACACCCATGCTTTGGCAGCAGGTAGGACATGGGGTCTGTATGTATGTGCTGACAAGAGCAGGGCAGTGGTAGGTTCCTGTGCATGCATGTGAGCAAGTTAGAAAGGGGAGGCTGTGGGCAAGTATGTGCTGGAAGGTACCCATCTGCTGAAGCTGTCTGATGGTTAAGCAGAGTCTCTTGGCAAAGGAGCTATGGTGGTGACCACTGAAAAGTGCCCTGGTTGGGCATGCAAGGATGTGCTACAAGTGGGTGCATCCAGGCAGGGACCCCAGGAGAGGCCAGCAGACAGGGGAGTGCTCAGATTTGACTGACCTTGTCCAATGGGCAAGACATCCCAACTCTGTCCAGGTCAAATAGTCAACAAAGGTCAAAGCCACCTAGAGGATCAGGACAAGCCTTGGGGATGGACGGCCATAGCCATGCTCCACTGCTGCTCTTCCCATGCCAAACCCTCCAGGCTCTGCATAGATCAGAATCTTGTCCCTGCCACCTCTCCTGGCAGCTCTCCCTGACAGCTGAAATGTCTATGGGAGCTGTGAAGGCTCCTACAGCTAGGATTTCAGAGGTACACAGTGAGAGTGGGCCACTCCATGCCTCTTTAATTCATTTCTTCCTAAGAGCCACTCAGGGACAGGAATGAGTTCTGGTGCTTGGCAATCATATGCAGGGTTCCAAGCTTCCTCTCCTTTACATCCAGGGTCTAGATCCCCTCTCTATCCACTCTCAATGCCTTTCTTGTGATAGTCTGCTCAGAGTTTGCCCATCCTCTTGATGGGCTGGTCTCTCAGTAGAAGAAGGTCTTCCAGACTGTGTCTAGTTGACCATCCGGACTCATCTCCAGAATAGATCTTTTCCAAGAAATAGTTTGTATCCTTCCTTGAGGTGTCCAGGAATCAGTGCAGGAGAACTCAATGGCACAGGGACTGCCCATACACTCTGAGCCTCCCCATCTCCTCACGGCAAGTCAGTTGTCACCCAGCATGCGGCTTGTTACCTCTACCCAAACCCGCATCTGCTCATAAAGTGCTCAGGTCACCTGCGATTGGGCCAAGCTAAGCACCCTGTCCACCTGTCAACCACACTCCCTCTGCCTCTTCCCTCCATACACTGCCCAGTGACTCAGCTGACTCTGCTGCACACCAGTGCATATGGCCTGTGATGGCCTGGGCACATCCAAGTGTGAGGCATCACCAGGCAACTAGAACTAGGCACTTGCCAGCCCACCCCAACATGTGTCTTTCTGTCTTTCTTGCACACTGTCCATCTGCCTCGCCTGCCACATCCACCAGTCCAAGGACCACTGAGGTGTGAACTGGCACCACCCAAAGGTGGAAATCAGCCCTTACCCTTTCTACCACCCATGTGCTAAGCCTAGCACTGAGATTTTCCCTTTTGCTCATGACTGTATTCCTCAAAAGTGGAGGAATTTCGGGCCTCTGTTGAGCAATCAATACATACACAAACACCCGTGAAATGAATTAATACATTTGCTAATAATGAATCCTACATGCTTTAAGATTGATGTGCGTATATATGTACACATACATACAAATGTCTGTATCATGTGAACATGTACATTTGTGTATGTGTTTATATATATTTATATATTAATTCCTTTATTCATTGACATATCCACTATAAGAAAACAATGAAATGATAATGTTGAGGAAACAAACTTAAGAGTGTCTGCCTTTAGATAACTTAGAATCTAACTGGTGAAATTTATGTAAATCCAACTATCACCCAAAATGATCATTTCTAGCAATGGTGATTGCTAAGAAGAAAAGGCACACCATTTAATAAGGACACAAAGGACTTCAGCTTTATCTTGAATATCCGGGAAAGCTTATCTCATGAAATAATACTTGATCTGAAATATGGTTAATAAAGATAAGTAGGCAAAATAGAGAAAAGGGAACAGCACAAGCAAGGGCTCTGTAGAAGAGGTCACATGGAGTCCTTAGAGAACTTTCAGAAGGACAGCAGCTGAAGCACAGAAAGCAAAAGAGCATTATAAAGGTGGAGCTATAGAGCCACGTCCATTGTGTTGAGACTTGTGTAGGCAACACTGAGTATTCTGACCTTTACCCTAAGAGAAATGAGAAGCTATTGAGAGACTTCTAAGCAGTGGGTGTATGGTGTTTATGAAATATGCAATCAATATAGATACCTTGGATTAGAGAAGTTATAGCACAGATCTTTTAAGGCCATGCGTAAATGAAATAGCACAGAAACTGCCCCCATCTTCCTAATAGGATATTCACCATGTCAACTTGAAGTTTTGCTTTCCAGACTTCAATGTTTTACCTGTATTATTAAAAAAAGATTATATCATTCCCCAAACAACCACTCTAAATGACAACCAGAACTCAAATCTTAACTGTCCTCTTCTTAATAGTGCTTCTCTGAATTCACACACAGACTTGCATTTATCCTGAATATAGCAATCATACTTAATACTCTGTAACACTAACATAAAGGTAGTATTATCCATCTTTTGCTTCTGTTAAAGAATTATTCAATTGTCCACCTACCCTTTGAAATAGGTGATATTATTCTAATTTTACATATAATGAGCTGAGGCATGGAAGTGTTAAATAACTTGCCCAACTGCAAAGAGCAAATAGAAGCCAGAATTCAAAACTCGAGATTCAGTTTCCAAAGTGTAAGCTTTTATGAACCATACTGTACTGTTTTGCATACAAACCATCATTTTAAACTTCACAAAATGTAATATATACATGTTGTTAACCTAATTTAATAGATGGAAAAACATACCTCAACATATGAAACAGTTTGTCCAAGACTGCACAAATAGAAAGCAGCAGGACTGGGTTCTAAGATTCCCAATGTTAATGGCTACATCCATCTACATGTCTCTAATAAGAAGATGGCTCTCACCCTCCAACATTGTGATCATATTCAAGATTGGAAACTCATAATATACAGCCCTTCCAGAGTTTTACCTGGAAGGCATGTCATTATTATCTTCTATAGGAAAATATACCAGGCAATGGTATGGTCATAAGTCCATGTTTCATCAAATGCATGGTGAAGTGAAGCAGTAGAGAAAGTTATAAAGTTTCTTTAGAATGTATTTAAGCAGAACAATGCCTCAGGATGTAGGCCAGCTAGTGGGGCCAGACATCAGATGAGAACTGGAAACAAAATATTAAAGATATTCATTTATTTCTTCAAATACATCTCTTTTTAAATGACCATGATAAAGTCTAGGGCTAGAAGATAATTTTATATGGGGCTATTTCATCAACAGCAGCTTAAGTTTTCCCGGCTATGCTTAAGAAAGGACCAAGGAGACTAAAATAGAACATAATTATCAGTAAGGTACTTTTAAACTTAGGCATTAGCTTCAGTTAACTACAGAATAATTGTTTTAGAATTACTGAGGGATTCTGTGCTGGATGAGAAATAAACTACAAGGTCACAAGGTTGTAATATGCTTTTATATTCTTTCTCCTCTCTGACCTCTTTTTTGTTTTCACCTTTCTTTTTTCAAAGAGAGATTTAAAGAAACTCATTAGCAGCTGTGGTAAAAGGTTAGAGGCTGACAGACCTTGGTTTAAATTCTGGCTACTCTACACAATAGTGTGACCTTGAACTAGTGAGTTAACCTTTTAATTTCTTCATCCTCAAAAGAAAAAAATGGTAAAAAAAAAATTACTGTGCAAAGTTTTGAATTTTAAATGATATAGTGCTTTACTAAACTATCTCAGACATAACAAGTGTTTCTTGGTAAATGAATGATTGAATGATTTCATGTTATTTCCCTTACATTTTTTATTTCCAAGTTATTTGCAGGAAGAGGCTAAGATAAAAAAAATTGAATAATGATGAAGTAAAGAAAAATACAAATAACACTTGGGAAACCCATCTATGTTACACCATTCTTGCATTCCTGTAAAGAAATATCTGATATGGGGTAATTTATAAAGAAAAAAGATTTAATTGGCTCACTGTTCTGCAGGCTGTATAGGAAGCAAGTGCTAGTATTTGCTTGGCTTCTGGGGAAGCCTCAGGGAGCTTTTACTTATGGCAGAAGGTGAAGTAGCAGGAATGTCACATGACTAGGGCAGGAGCAAGAGAGAGAGAGAGTGAAGGATTTGCCACACACTTTAAACAACCAGATCTTGTGAGAACATACTACTATGAGGACAGCAAAAAGCCATGATAGATTTGTCCTCATGATCCAAACACCTCCCACCAGTCCCCACCTCCAGCACTGGGGATTACATCTCAATATGAGATTTAGAGAGGACATCCAAACGATATCACCATTCTTTTGTAATCAACGTGTTCTTCCTGCCCACTTCATCAACAAAACCAGTTCACTATTGCAGTAAAGAGTTTAATTAACTCTATGCTAGCCATGTAAAGATTGAGTTATCACTCAAGTCATTCTCCCTGAAGGCTTGGAGGTTAGAGTGTTTCAAGAGTAGTTTGGTGGGCAGTTGGCTAGGAATGGGGATTGATTTGTTGAGGTAAAATAATGGAAGTGTTGAAAACAGCCCTCTTGCACTCAGTCAGCCTCAGGGTGAAGGTCATAGGACCACCTGAGTCTTGAATGGTGGGTCTGGGTGGAGTCAGCCAGTCACTAAAAATGCAAAAGTTTGAAAAGTATCTCAAAAGGCCAATCTTAGATATTACAATAGTGATGCAATCTACAGGAGTAACTGGGGGAAGTTACAATTCTTGTGACCTCCACAACAATGGTTGGTTATCTGCTAACTATGCCTGTAACTTAGCAGAGTTCAGGCCCCTCTCATAATTCTACCTGGTGACCTTTTGTTAGTTTTACAAAGGCATTTTGGTTTGGGAAAGGGCTTCTATCATCATCCTTGCTTTATAGTTAAACTATAAAATAAGTTCCTCTGGTGGTTAGCTTAGTGAAGACAGCCAGCCTGTGAGGCTAGAAGCAAGATAGAGTCAGCCATGGTAGATTTCTCTCACTGTCATAATCTTTGCAAAGGCAATTTCAATCTCCCCTTAATTTTCAGCACACTCTAATCCTGAGGTGTGAGTTATGGAGGTGGGAAAAGGCCAACAATCACTCTAACTTTTTCCCTGTTGACAGATAGCATAATAGGGGTAGGGTTTTGTATTAGTCCATTCTCATTGCCAAAAAGAAATACCTGAGACTGGGAAATTTATTAAGAAAAGAGGTTTAATTGGCTCATGGTTCCACGGGCTGTGCAGGAAGCTTGGCAGCATCTACTCAGCTTTTAGGGAAGCCTCAGGAAACTTACAATCATGGTGGAAGGTGTAGGGGAAGCAGGCCAGTCTTACATGGCCAGAGCAGGAGGGAGAGAGAAGGGGGAGGTGCCGCATACGTTTAAACAAACCAATTTTGTGAGAAGTCACTAACATGAGAATAGCACCAAGGAGATGGTGCTAAACCATTCATGAAAGACCCACTCCCATGATCCAATCACCTCCCACCAGGCCCCACTTCCAACATTAAGGATTACAACTTGACATAAAATTTGGATGGGGACACAGATCTAAACCGAATCAGGGATGCTCCCAGGATAAGAGGAGTGAAACTGGTTTTTTAGTTGTCTTTATGTATTCATGAGTGCCTGGCTGGGATCCCAAAGTCTGCATAACGAAAACATTAGTATTTTAAGCACAGATTTAGTACAGCACGTAAGTGAACAGCAGACTATAAGACAAATAATGAGAACTATTATGAATAGCAAATGTCCTAGTTTCAGTAGTCCCTGTAGAACTGACCTGAAGCCTTGAGGGGTTCAAGTGAATGACCTTGAGAACCAATCAGATACAGTGTCATCAGCTGAAACGCATAAACAATGGACAACAACAAGTGTACTATACGTTTTGTCTGAAATATAATTTTTGTCTCTCCAGCTCCTCATTTTTACCAAAGACAAATTGCAGTAGAACCCATTTATTTGCAAAATAAGTTCCAGCCTTATTATATATGGCCTGATTATTTGCATAAAATTCAGCAAGAATAATTACTTGCCATATTAGCTTTTTTGTTCTAAATTGGCTGTGCTGGATTTTTCTTCATATGAAATCTCAGATTAGACCTTTTAAAAGCCTCTTGAGCCCAAAAGAAGCTTTATTTATGTCTGTAGATACTTACATGAATTGGGTGAATTTCTCTCTTCTTGAGGTCCCAAAACAACTTGGGGTTCCTAGGCCTCTCAGAAAGTAACAATTCTTACTTACCACAGGTCAGGAAACCTGTATGGGACAAGGTACAAGGCCAGTTTCTCTAAGGGGCTATTATCATCTCTCTAAGTCAACATCAATTCCTCAAAGCAGTGGGAAACCTGTAATTCCAGTCAAAGCCTTGGTTAACATAAACTTTGTCTCCAATTTTATCCTGTTAGAAATGAAAACAAATTCTTATTGAACTTATACAAATAACTATATTGCTGTAAAGTAAGAATACTCACAAATGATTTTCAAATTCTTGAGAAATCAAATAGAGAGAAAAAAATGTGTTTTACATTTTGCCCACAAGTATACTTTACTCAATGGTTAAAAGCTGTAAATAGCTGAAAATAAAAGTTTTCTTGACTCTGAAAGATGAAACAAAAAGTATCAGCAACACTTCAGGCAAAGAATTGTAAAAATATTATTTCAATCTTTTATTAGTTCAGCCCATGCAGTTAACTCCTGTTCTGCTCAGTATTCATGAACACATTAGCTGTCCATGAGAGTCCTGGAAGTTTTTCCCTCTATTCCAATGGCATAATCTTTACAAACTTATCAGACACCTGCATTCAAGACTACCTGTCAGAGTTCTATAGCTGACAATATAACTATCTTTTGAAAAGGATCAAAGTAAAACAACAATTGTGGATGGTAACAGTCTCAGGCCACCTATGGTTAATAACACAATTGACAAAAAAAAATTTGCTTATTTTTCTGGCATACAACAATTTACCCTAATAATCATAGTTATTCCTAATAATATATACAAAGTCAAATAAAATTATTGGAGTCTCACACAATTCTGGAACATACATCAATAGCACATTTATACAAATACATCCCCCAAAAAAGTCAAACACCATCCTATACTTGACATTGCTCTCTGTATGAATTTAACACATGAAATGAATCAAGCATAACTCTTTTAGGCTTCAGGGGACCTAATAGCTAAAAAAAAAGGTAAATGAAGTTAAAAGGACTGAATTTGGAACTTGAAATTTTGATTTTGGAAGGTTTGTCATATATCAAATTTTAAAATACTTGATATTACAATATAGGAACAGGTGACTCATATAGCTGAAATAATATCTCAAAAAATGTCAAAAAGACAAAAACCTTTGCTCTGACAGAGAGAAGTCTCAGTGTTTCAAACAAGAAGACCCAATAAAGATAGCATGAGGCCAATAGAATCTTTCTTTTCTCTTTTCCCTCTTTTCTTTTCTCTGTAGTTTACCTAAAAGGCAAACAAAGGCCGAGTGCACTGGCTCATGCCTGTAATCCTAGCACTTTTTGAGGCTGAGACAAGAGGAATGCTTGAGCCCAGGAGTTCGAGACCAGTTTGGGCAACAGGGTGAAACTCCATCTCTACCAAAAATACAAAAAATAAAATAGACAGGTATGGTGGTGCATGCCTGTAGTGGTGGCGCATGCCTGTAGTCCCAGCTGCTTAGGAGGCTGAGGCAGGAGAATCGCTTGAACTTGGGAGGCAGAGGTTGAAGTGAACCGAGATCGCGCCACTGAACTCCAGCCTGGGCGACAGGCCGAGACTCTGTCTCAAAAAAAAAAAAAAAAAAAAAAACACTTAAAACAAAAATCTGTCATTATCTGTCAATATTCTCCATGTTACAATCTTATTCAAATGGGAAAACCAAATTTCTCCTTAGCATTAGTATAATGTTAAACCCAATTTTTCATAAAACCTTATATATAATCTATCCGATCTTAATCAGTTTGACCATAAGGTAAGATTTCCATAAACCTTTTACAACTCCACAATTTTTTATTACAGAGCAGATCAGTGCAAAAAAAAAAAAAAAAAAAGAAAGAAAGAAAGAAAGAAAGAAAAACACCTGTTATTTTGATACATGACCCCAGATTCTGGCCCTGCATCAGTGTAGTTTTTATTTTAATATTTGATTTATAGAAAAACTAAATAACCTCCTTGGCTAACTTGCTCACACTGATAGAACTTCTTTTACAAGATCTTTCATAAATCTTCTATAACTTGATTAAACCTTCAGTTTTGTCTTATTATTTTTTAATTTAAGGCAATCTTTAAAACTTCTAAACGAGATAAAATTCCTTTTCCTTAAAAAAAAAAAAGCCATATTTCCATGGCTTCTTGTAACCTTTTCTCAAAACACATTTTCTTTTCTTTATATACTTTGCATGTAGAACTGTTCCTCTAGTAGTCTCACTACATATGTTACAATGCAAACTCCCAGCAACTTTTATTTTTAGTGAAAAACCTGGTAAGTAAACAATAACACTGCGTATGAGATGCAGAGCACAGGATAGGGACAGAGCTTCAGAGAATGTCTCTGGTTCTTTTCAGCATAACCAGGGGACATGGCTAACTACAAATGTCCCCTGACTTTACCTATAATTTAATGGCAGTAAAACAGAAAAGTCAAACAATTATCAAAAAAAGTCATAGAAACAGTTATAACTTTAAAATATCTAGCAAAGACAGTATCTGCCCTGCCTAATTCAGTTTCTAAATTCTGAAGACATTTTTATTTTGTTTCACCAATGTTACTAAAGTCACATGAACTGAAAGGCATTAAAATTTATATTTTTGTGTGAAAATATGTGATTTAAGCACTTGCTTTTTCTTTTAAGCCAATTAATTAGATCTCTTTCATATATTTTGGTAGTGAAACAGCACACACATGACACATATAAATACCCAGACAGAAGCAGATCTGGTGGAAGTTGGAAGATTCCTCATTTGCCCAGTTTTTAAGTTTCTATTCCCTAATTTAGACCATCAGTTTCTTGATTACCTGTTCTCTGCCCTAAACAATTCCCAGCTGGACAACTCTAAATTTGTATTTCTAAAGAGACAATTCTTAGGTGAAACAAGATACAAAATTCATATTTTACCCAAACCAAGGAAAAATGGTGTGAGTAAAAGTTCAATTAAGAAGACCAGGAAAAGCAGACACCCTTACACATGGAGATTTCCTTACAGATGTAACTTTCTTAATTGAATTACTGGATATAGGGTGGAGTCTTTTAAGTAACAGGGCCAAGAAAGCATTCAGTTTCTAGGTCCTAACAGGCAGGGGTAGCTGGAAGGCAGAAGCATTCAGTTTCTAGGTCTTAATAGGCAGGGGTAGCTGGAAGGCAGAACACATGCCCCCAAATCAAGGGTCCCATTTTTATACTAAATCCTGGGTCCCCAAAGAGAAAGTAATGCTAGGGGATGAGAGACTACAGTATAGTTCGTTGTAAGACCACTTCCTTGAGGCTGCCGGGCAACCCAGCACCTATCAGACCACTCTTGAATCAGTCAGTCCATTCCCCATCCCATACCCTCTAGGTGCCTAAGAGTGTGCTGTGTTTATCCAAACACAAAAAGAACTGAGTATCCCCCTTATCACTGCCATTAACCATCCCTAAAAGTGTATCTCTCATGTAGCCTTTATATACCAAGGCTAAAAGTTCTCTTCTAATGCAAAGTAGCTTCTGTTGTACCCAAAATTCAAAAAGATCAGGCAAGGCAATGCAAAGAAAGCAGAGCCTTAGATTTTGAGAGGCATCTCTCCACTTACAACTCTTGGGGTTCCATAAGGAAAACAGAGGTTACTCTAAAACTGGAGTCTGTGGTACCTCTCTTTTTTTTCCCAAGGTGTCCCAGGCTATCAGAAATTCCCTTGGGTTCTCTCATATGGGTATTGATGGTGGCAAGAAGATAAACAGAAGTAAATAGAGAAACAGAATTCAGTGAATTGGGAAGGAAAAAGAAATTTTTTTTTCAAAAAAAAATTAGAGAAAAATCATAAAAGCTTTTTAAATACTTAAATATTGATGTATGTATATATATTTAAAATATATATCTGCTTATATATTTTAAAATATTTATTTATTTATAGTTAATCAAAAAGCTTATACATCTATATGACTTGGATATCAGCTTTTAATTAAGCTTGTTTTTAAACCATGGAGCTCTTTTTAAAAAAATCCTTCCAAATCTGTTATTAATAGACACTAGTGGGGACAAACAGCCAACACCTCTGACTTTTACACCTTTTCTTTTCCTCAAACATATTTTCCCAAGTGAAATCAATAAGTCTTAAGTTATGACTTAACTACAGATGCAGAAGGTGTGGGCAGAGATGGAAAGAGGTTTTTACAGGATCTAGAATCACCCAAAAGGTAGCTCAGAGAAAGAAATTCAAGAGAGGAAATTAGAAGCTATCCATGGAGGGAAAAATAATAAATGACAAAAGTCTCACAACTATCAAACCAGAAGGAACTCATTCCTTAAACCAGGAATTGAACCCTGGTCAGCATGATGAAAGGGCAAAGCCTTAGCTGCTGTGCTATAGCATGGGCAGGTGCCATTGACCTTGCCAGAAGGAGTCTAGGGTAGCCGTTTTCGAGCTTGCAAAAGGATTTTGACTGCTCAAGAGAACTTTCTAAGGCTAGCTATGACATTATTAGGCATCTTCCTATTAATTCAAACCTTTTATTTCAATTGTGGAAAATAAGATCTCTAAAATCCTTTTTATTTCAATAGTATACTTCCAATAGTGACTCAATCTAAAAGCCTTTTTAAAGACCAAATGGTACTTTTCCAGGTTTTTACCGCATAAGGAAGAGATACTTCTAAAGAGGGAGTAGAAGAGGTGTCCCCATGATCCCCAAGAATTCCGTCAGAAATTGTAAGACAAAATGCATTCAAAGGCTTGACACGTTTGGGTAAAAGAGTGAGCTTTCTCGGTAACAGAGGGAGACTCTGCGACAGAGAGATAGAGAGAGAGAGAGAGAGAGAGGAAGGGAGAAAGGCAGAGAGAGAGAGAGAGAGAGAGAAAGAGAGAAAGAAAGACCTCAGACCTCAGTCCTTTCAGACTGGCCACCTGATAGGAACCTGAAAATTCTTGCCCTCCTAATGGCAGAGTCTGAGAAAGAGGACCTCCACATGGTCACCAATCAAGCTCCCAAGGACATAAAGCAAGATGAGAGGGAAACCTCATTCAGTTTTTGTTCAGGACCCTTCAGCAAAGTTGTAACTGAGCAGTCTGCAGGGCTGGCTTGAACAGTAGGCTCATGGAGAACATAGGCCCACATTTTATCTTATGGTAACTCTCTTTATGACAAAACAACACAGAAAGGCAAATTCATAACACAATGTACACCAGATTCACTACAGCCTCAGACTAGTGTCATAAATCCATCTTCCCACTAGTCATAACCTTATATAGGAGACAATCAGTAATTTTTACCATTCACTCAACTGGCTTGCACAGAGAGAGAGAGAGGGAGAGAGAGGTCAAAAGCCCTGCTGGTAAGAAATATTATCCTTTTGCTAGCTTGCCAGGTTTCTGGGTTCCCTTTCTCTGCAGCTTCCAGAAGAGCAAATCTGCTTTTGATAACTCTGTGCGCTGCACCATAGCTGTGGGATCCAAGCCACATTACAAAAAAATGGTTCTTTTTCTTTTTTATGGAACCATAGGCAAAAACATTCCAGTTTTGCAAGTTGCAGCCCAACAGTCTGCCTGAGGGAACTGAGTTATCATTCCCCATTCCTGCCAGAGTGATATACACATGACAAAACACAGACACTAATCACCCTGCTCGGTGCCCAGGTATCAATGTAGCAAGGCTCAAACTTGTCCTTGTTGGTCCTTGGCATCTTTGATCTATTCAAGGTTTGGAGGGATGACCTCCAACCGGGAGTTTAAATGGGTGGTCTGTGGGCAAAATGGAAAAGCTGAAGGTCACCCTGAGCTAGCTTCTGCTAACACTTCCTTCAGGGCTCACCAAATGTGACTGATCAGACAAGTAGGAGAGTCTGCTGGATGTCCATCAGCAATTTCTTCAGAGATCTCCTTTATACATATAAGCTCACACAACAAAGTGAAAACACGCAAAAGGCATTCCAAACCAAGATCCCAGACCAGATTCCAATCCAGAAGAGTATTCTTCCAAACAGGCCCCCTTTTTCTGCTCTAAGTGGGGAGAAATCTCCCTAGCCTTAGATTCTTGCTGAAATCCAGGGAGAGGTGAACAGTCCCGGGATGAGTCTACAGTACTCCAGAAAAGCCAACAGATCAGAAGAAGGAAGGGGGTATTGACTGTGCCTAGAATATTCACTAGACTGGTTTAAAGACATTTTCCAGGAACTTTCTTTCCACTGAAATTAGGCCCAGGAACCATGGGTTGACAGTGCCGGTATGGACAGAGCCAGAGATGGCCCATCAGCTCGTTAAAAATAAGCAACTGCCAGAGTTCACCTCCAGGTCTGTTATTCTGTGGTGGCTGACAAAGTGTTGGCAGGCACCCGCAAGGGGTGACTCCAGATGAGTCCTCAGGTTAATAGTCTCCAAAAGATTTCTCACTGTCCACTGCACAGACAAAACCAAATTACCAGGACTCTGGTATTGCATTAAAAAATGTAATTGACACTAGGGTAGTTATGTGAAAGATAGCATAATATTGCTCAAATCAATCTCGCCAAAGGTTTGGAGGGTTGTTCAAGAAGAATTTGGTGGGCAGGTGACTAGGGAATTAGTGGGGAATGTTGATTGGTTGGAAATGAGATCACAGAGGTATGGAGAATAGTCCTCATGCGCTGAGTCAGCCTCTGGGTGGGGGCCCTAGGACCAGTTGGGTCATGGGTGGTGGTTTTGGGTAGAGTCAGTCAGTGACCAGAAATGTGAAAGTCTAAAAGTCGTCTCAAAAGGCCAATCTTAGTTTCTACAATAGTGGTGTTATCTCCAGGATTAGTTGGGGAAGTTGCAAATCTTGTGACCTTCAGAAGAATGACTGGCTATCATTTAAGCATGTATCTTAGCAGAATTCAGGCCCTTCTTATAATTCTACCTTGTAGCCTTTCATTTGCTTTACAAATGTAGTTTAGTTTTGAGAAGGGTTACTATAACTTTGCTTTAAAGTTAAACTATAAAGTAAGTTCCTCCCATTGTTAGCTTGGCCCAAACCCAGGAATGAGTGAAGATAGCCAGCCTGAGGCTAGAAGTGAGACAGAGTCAGCCATGTTAACTTTCTCTCACTGTCATAACATTTGCAAAGGTGGTTTTACTTTTTCTTCATTTTTCTTGGGCAATGCTATCAGAATTTCCAAGTTATGGAAATTTAAGTAACTATTATTATTATTTTTTAAAAGAAAAATATTATGTCTGAATGTGGCCTGTCATATTCACTTACTTAATTCAGACAGGAATTATCTGGCCCAAATCCTTTGCGTGTAATTGGTGGGTTGAATAAAATGTCTTCCTTGGTGTAATTTTTCTTTAACAGCAGGTAGCCGGGTTTTGGATTCTGTCCCATGTCTAGTTTTTACTTCTAGGCTGAAATTTTGTGAGCACGAAACTACTTTCCATTAGGTAAAATTATACTTATTATGTAGCATTAGAAGAAAAAAATCCAAGTATGTTCAGTGAAAATTTACATCAATTGCTAATAGTTCTTATATCCTTAAAAAATATACATATACCACTTGCCATTTTAGGATTTTTATTTCTAGTATGAAAACCCAAATACCAGATTAATTCAAAGAGCTGTAGCCCCAAAAGGACCTAGCTTCTCTTAATGAGGAGGAACAAACTCTGATTAGTTTTGATTAAATTAGAAGTATCACATTGCTTTCCTGAGACATAATAAGAAGACACATTTTATAGGTAGTGAGACACTTAACTCCACCCTTAACCAGCTGCTGGGCATTACTGATTCTGGTGGAATTTAGCTGTCTTTGGAAATTAACAGAGCTGGATGAAATTAAAGACATTTTCTATTTTTTTTCTGATCTAAAGCTTTTTTTTTAAATTATATTTTAAGTTCTAGGGTACATGTGCACAACGTGTAGGTTTATTACATATGTATACATGTGCCATGTTGGTGTGCTGCACCCACTAACTCGTCATTTACATTAGGTATATCTCCTAATGCTATCCCTCCCCACTCCCCCCATGACAGGCCCCAGTGTATGATGTTCCCCACCCTGTGTCCAAGTGTTCTCATTGTTCAATTCCCACCTATGAGTGAGAACATGGAGTGTTTGGTTTTCTGTACTTGTGATAGTTTGCTCAGAATGATGGTTTCCAGCTTCATCCATGTCCCTACAAAGGACATGAACTCGTCCTTTTTTATGGCTGCCATGGTGTATATGTGACACATTGTCTTAATCCAGTCTATTATTGATGGACATTTGAGTTGGTTCCAAGTCTTTGCTACTGTGAATAGTGCCGCAATAAACATACATGTGCATGTGTCTTTATAGCAGCATGATTTATAATTTGGTGAATGTGACAATTATGTGTCTTGGAGTTGCTCTTCTTGAGGAATATCTTTGTGGCGTTCTCTGTATTTCCTGAATTTGAATGTTGGCCTCCCTTGGTAGGTTGGGGAAGTTCTCTTGGATAATATCCTGCAGAGTGTTTTCCAACTTGGTTCCATTCTCCCCGCCACTTTCAGGTACACCAATCAGACGTAGATTTGGTCTTTTCACATAGTCCCATATTTCTTGTAGACTTTGTTCATTTCTTTTTACTCTTTTTTCTCTAAACTTCTCTTCCCGCTTCATTTCATTCATTTGATCTTCAATCACTGATACCCTTTCTTCCACTTGATCGAATCAGCTACTGAAGCTTGTGCATGCGTCATGTAGTTCTAGTGCCATGGTTTTCACCTCCATCAGGACATTTAAGGTCTTCTCAATGCTGTTTATTCTAGTTAGCCATTCGTCTAATCTCTTTGGAAGGTTTTTAGCTTCTTTGCGATGGGTTCGAACATCCTCCTTTAGCTCGGAGAAGTTTATTATTACTGATCGTCTGAAGCCTTCTTCTCTCAACTAGTCAAAGTAATTCTCCATCCAGCTTTGTTCTGTTGCTGGCAAGGAGCTGAGTTCCTTTGGAAGAGAAGAGGTGCTCTGATTTTTAGAATTTTCTGCTTTTCTGCTCTGGTTTCTCCCCATCTTTGTGGTTTTATCTACCTTTGGTCTTTGATGATGGTGATGTACAGATCGGGTTTTGGTGTGGATGTCCTTTCTGTTTGTTAGTTTTCCTTCTAACAGTCAAGACCTTCAGCTGCAGGTCTGTTGGAGTTTGCTGGAGGTCCACTCCAGACCCTGTTTGCCTGGGTATCACCAGTGGAGGCTGCAGAACAGCAAATATTGCAGAACGGCAAATGCTGCTGCCTGATCCTTCCTCTGGAAGCTTCATCTCAGAGGGGCGCCCGGCTGTATGATGTGGCCTCTATTGGGAGGTGTCTCCAAGTTAGGCTACTCAGGGGTCAGGGACCCACTTAAGGAGGCGGTCTGTCTGGTCTCAGATCTCAAACTCCATGCTGGGAGAACCACCACTCTCTTCAAAGCTGTCAGACAGGGACGTTTAAGTCTGCAGAAGTTTCTGCTGCCTTTTGTTCAGCTATGCCCTGCCCCCAGAGGTGGAGTCTACAGAGGCAGGCAGGTCTCCTTGAGCTGCTGTGGGCTCCACCCAGTTTGAGCTTCCTGGCTGCTTTGTCTACCTACTCAAGCCTCAGCAATGGCGGATGCCCCTCCCCCAGCCTCACTGCCAACTTGCAGTTCAATCTCAGACTGCTGTGCTAGCAGTGAGCAAGGCTCCATGGGCGTGGGACCCTCCGAGCCAGGCGTGGGAGGGATATAATCTCCTCGTGTGCTGTTTGCTAAGACCGTTGGAAAAGCACAGTATCAGGGTGGGAGTGTCCCGATTTTCCAGGTACCATCTGTCCTGGCTTCCCTTGGCTAGGAAAAGGATTTCCCCAACCCCTTGCACTTCCCCAGTGAGGCAATGTCCCAGACTGCTTGGGCTCACACTCTGTGGGCTGCACCCACTGTCCAACAAGCCCCAGTGAGGTCAACCCGGTACCTCAGTTGGAAATGCAGAAATCACCTGTCTTCTGCATCGCTCATGCTGGGAGCTGTAGACTGGAACTGTTCCTATTTGGCCATCTTGGAACCTCCTCTTAAAGACATTTTCTTAGGAGAAACAATTACATGTATTTTTTAATCCCTTGGATGACATTTTCACAGTTCTTCCTTTGACATAGGATAGTTCTTGGCTGTAATTATTACTCCATTGACCCAGAAGCCCACAGAATTTTAACTGTTTCCCTCTAGCCCCCAGTAAAAAAAAAGTTTCCTGTACTGTTATGTAAGAAGTATTGACATAAGGTCAAAAGTCTAATAAAGAAGAGGAAATGTAGAGGCCATCTTGTCCAATATTTCAAGTGAAGTTTGAATCTCCTTAACACACTTAAAGAGGTTTGTGCTAGAACATCTTCCTCCACAGTGACACTGCTACCTTTTAAAAGTATCGATGAACAAAAGGAGCAGTCACCATGACTTTCCCATGAGGTCTTATGTCCAGCCTACACGGCTATATATAACAATACTCTTTCAAAGATGCCTTTTTGTTTCCTTAACTCCACAGGCATGTCAAACACATGAGAGGGTGTCAATAGGCAAGCCATCACTGGGAGGAAGACTCTTGATTTTAGCTAACCATGAACACAAATGGTCCATAAGTTGGTGCACAGCATGAATTACCTTTGAGTACATTCACTCTATTTAAGATCAATGTTTGGCTGGGCGTGGTGGCTCACGCCTGTAATCCCAGCACTTTGGGAGGCCGAGGCAGGCGGATCACGAGGTCAGGAGATCGAGACCATGCTGGCTAACACAGTGAAACCCCATCTCTACTAAAAATACAAAAAATTAGCCAGGCGTGGTGGTGGGCACCTGTAGTCCCAGCTACTTGGGAGGCTGAGGCAGGAGAATGGCATGAACCCAGGAGGCAGAGGTTGCAGCAAGCCGAGATCGCACCACTGCACTGCAGTCTGGGCGACAGAGTGACACTCCATTTCAAAAACAAACAAACAAAAAAAGATCAATGTTTAATAGGCTTATTTTCCTCTGATCCTCTTTCCTGTTCTCCTCTCCCTTTGTTCCTTTTCATCTTTTGGTCATTAACTCAACGTTAGCCTATTCCTTTCTGGAAAGAATCCTTAAGGTTCTTGACTTCATCTTGGAGGACTGACCAAAATGGTTATTCCAGATTCATTGAAATTGGTTCTTCATTAACAGACATTTTTTTTTCTAATATTGGCAAGCTCTACTTTAGATTATACTAGTTGAAGTTTAAATGTATCAACAGAGTTTCTGAATCTTAGTCTACGTACCCACTCCAAGAAATGTGTTGTTTTAACCACGTTTACTTAGACTTCATATTTGTTTATTTGCCATCCATTCATCACAGGGTCTGTTATGTTAATTATATTTTCTTATATTCTTTATTCTTGATGCCCTACCAGAACTATTCAGTTCTTCGAGGTAGTAAAGGGCTCTGCAGAAGTATGAATTTCATATGCAAGCCAACCAGTCGGCAGTCTCTACCCTCCAACTACCCTCTTTATTTAGTTCTCCCACACCAAACCAGTATGTCCCCTGCCCTAAGTCAACCCAGAGTGAGGTAGCAGCCCACTGGAGACTCTCCCTGTAGCCCAGAGCCTGTCAACTGTATTCATATTGGCCAACCTTAAGTTCTTTATTCTGCCCTGCCCTGTCTTTCCTGAAGAAACCCCAGTAGAGGCTCTGCCCTAGTTTTCTCCCTCAATCTTACTTCTTGTCTTGACCAAAACCAGATGCTTCTCCTGTGGCCCTGAATAGCATTGGATGCCCCGTCTTTAGGGAGATATAAGTAGTAAAAATATTTTATGATGATTAGCCTTTCCATGGCATCAATCAGTCACCTTTATAAATGAAGATCCAGGCACAAAACGTGGACAAGAAAGAAAAATAGAAGGAAGGAAGGGTGTTATTATAGGAATAGAGAACAACTAGTTCTGCACCCTCATGAAACCGATAGGACATCTGATGACATAAAATCTACTTCCAAGAGGGCTACCTTTAGACACTCCGAGTTCCAGTCTCATGGATTTGAGAAAGTGTATTACTTCACAATTTTTCCCCTCAGATAAATTCCAGAACAAAGATATCATGCTTATGTATTTGGCATCTTGATCATGTGGTCATTATTTTGTCAGCTGAATTGTCTTGTAAAATCTCATAACTTATTCTTGGTAGGCTATTGTACTAGTCCGTTTTCATGCTGCTGATGAAGACATACCCAAGACTGGGTAATTTACAAAAGAAAGAGGTTTAATTGAACTCATAGTTTCACGTGGCTGGGGAGGCCTCCCAATAATGGTGGAAGGCAAGGAGAAGTAAGTCGCATCTTACATGGATGGCGACAGGCGAAGAGAGTTTGTGCAGGGGAAATCCTCTTTTTAAAACAATCAGATCTTGTTAGACTCATTCACTATCATGAGAACAGCGCAGGAAAGACCTGCCCCCATAATTCAATCGCCTCCCACCGGGTTCCTCCTATGACACGTGGGAATTGTGGGAGTTACAATTCAAGATGAGATTCGGTTGGCGACACAGCCAAACCATATCATCTATCTTTCTTCAGCCCATATGTGTCCCTATCTTCTTCTCCTAATGTAGCCTATTTGAACATAATATGAAGAACTCTATAAGTGAAAACTATGATATAATATGCATTATATAAATATATAGTAATACTAAAATACCAATACTCTTTTTACTAAGGTATAGATTGACCTGAAATTTGTCTTTTTATGTTCTTTTACATACTTGTACAGAGCCTGGAGCCATTTTTCAAAATAATTTGTTAAGTATAAGGAAAAAAAAGGGTGTTCTTCCTAAAATATTTGACTCAAGAAGGATCTTCACCCACTTTTCTTGGCTAAACACATCAAACCCAGAGCTGCACAGGTTCCTGGTGACTAAACTTCTACTTTGTAATAATTGCTGTGCCTGGACGGTGTCTCAGTAGTGACGGTGGGAGGGCTGGCCTGTGGGGTGCCAGGGGTGCTGAAATGCCTTGCTATAGTGTATAGATGTTCCTGTCTTCAAAGGATAGCTGTTGGAGAGAACAGTGTCTGAAAGCGTTAAGAGAATATGCCATGAGAAAATGCTCATTTAAGAATTAGTTATCCTGATAAAACATTACAGAGGCACGGGGAAATAGCAGATTGCTGACTTGAGGCTTGTTAACAAGAATCTGCTGTAGAGATGCAGAAGATCACGGCCCCCAACTAATGAATATTGTAGCAGGGAAATGGCATGACAAGTTCCTTCTTGTTCCAACTGAGCCTGCTTCTTCAAGAACAAAAGGTCAGTTGTGCTAAAGATATTGAGAGAAGCTTAGTTTGGACATGTCTTTCAGTGCACCAGAGTTCGATGGCTGCTGTGGAATTGATTTCTTACACCAAGGCCAGATGGTTGCAGAAAAAAATGTTAGAATATGACACTCTATGCAGCAAGGAAAATTTAGAACAAAATCACTCTCAAAAGAAGATGTGAATCTTCAGTGGGCCACAGAGGTAGCCTTTTATTTAAGAATAAAATTGGCTCAGTGAAATGCCGATCAACCTATTGCATCAAATAGAGTTTTTAATAATAAATAAATCATTATTTAAGTCAAGGATATTTGAAAATAATAAAATGAAGCATTCTTCATACCCAGCTGCTTTTTGGCATTCTGAACAGAATTTTTTTCCTTCATTTTGAGTGTTGCGTGTAGATATATATGTAATTGTATATATTTTTAAAATAGCATTGCTTCATTAAGAAATTTTTTAAAACCCAAATAAACAAAATAAAAGAAAATATAGTTCAACTATCCCTGCATCTCAAAACAGACACTATCCTTTCCCCATGCAGAGCTCTTTTTTTTTTCTTTTATGTCAATCCATATAGATTTTCTTTAGTTCCTCTCTTTCATGTTGGTGAGGGGAAGGAAATAGATTTTTTAATGTAGATACTATTTAAAATAGTTCTTATTTTTCTGATGCTTATAGAACTCTAGGAAGCTAATCTCCCTGTGTTCATGTCCTAAATTTTAACAGATTGTCTTATAGAAGTTACGTTGTACCACCACTGTGTGTTTACACATACAGAAGCACATGTGTTTACAGCAGGTCCTCTAATAACATTGTTTCATTCAAGGTCATTTTGTTATAAAGATCAACTTTAATTTTTTCCCCCCATCAAGGGGGAAGAAATTGCTTCCTGGTCAGACCACTGTCTGGGTACAGTTGACAAGTTCTCCCCATGTTCAGGTGGGTTTTCTCTGGGCACTCAGATTTCCTCCCACATCCCAAAGAGGTGCATTGGCATGACTAAACAGTCCCAGTGTGAGTGAGTGTGGGTGCCCCTTTCAAGGGAATGTCATCCTGTCAAAGGAGGTCTGCCTGGAGCCCCATGCTGCAAGGGATAGGATCTGACCACCCATGACCCTGAACTGAAATAAGCGGGTAAATAATTATCTTACTTATCATTAGTCTTTCTTAAATGTATGCATAGTTCCCATTTATTTCAATGTTTAATATTAGAAGTGTTTTGATCTTTATGTACAAGTTTGGTGATGTTTTCCTGACCAGAAATATGCTGTAAGAGCTTAAGTCTTGTTTATATCAATTAACCTATGGGAAAATTAGTTTCATTATACATTCTTTTCCTGAAAGTCACAATTTCCAAGAACCTATGGATGACATTAAGTCAAGACTTCCTCTGTTTATGTGGTTGTGTGTATGCGCATATGCAGAATTTTAGTGCTCAACTGGGTCATTACAAATTGTTTATTGTTTAGTCCTAAACTCACAATTACAGAAGAAAAAAAGCCTAAATATGTTAAATAATTTTACATTCATGTTTGTAGTAATTAAGGCTAGATATTCCTTTTCACTTGCTTCTTCATTTACCTTTCACAATCAGCTGAGAGCACATACCTAAAATTGATATGTATTTCAGTACGTGTGTAATGTAATGTTCCTTTTAGAATATGGCAAGTGCCATGCTGAGGTAGAGATATTCTAAAATTCACTTTGGGCTCAACATACATCATTATCTGCAAAATGTGTGGTACCAGCAATATCATAAAGGGAAAAAGGTACAGACTGAGGCAACATTGGTTTATAGAATGTCATACAGTATTTAGACATACAGTTTGTAGATTTTTCAGTTTGACTTCTTTCACTTAGCAATGTTGACTTACATTCCTCTATGTCTTGTCCAGTCACCCATTTCTATCACTGAATCATATTCCATTGCATGCATATACCACAGTTTGTTTATCCATTAACACACTGGAGGCCATCTTCCTTATGTCAAATTTTAGCAATAATGCATAGAACTCCTATAAACACCCATTTGCATGTTTTGCATGGACATGTATTTTCAATTAATTTGAAAGGAGCACAATTGCTGAATCTTGTGATAAAAGTATGTTTAGTTTTGCAAGACACTGCCAAATTGCCTTCCAAAGTGGTTGTACCATTTACATTTCTATCAGCAATGAATGAGAGTTCCTATTGCTTCATGTCCTCCCTAGAATTTGATTCTGTGTTTTGGATTTTAAGCATTTTAATAGGTGTATGGTGGTTTCTCATTTTTACTTGCAGTTCTCCAATAAAACATGAGGTTTTCATTAGGGAGCTGCAAATAAAAGTTGGAGTTTTATTTGCATCTTTCATATGCACATCTGCTATCTATTTATCTTCTTTGGTGAATTGTCTGTTTAGAACTTTTGCCTATTTGTTAATTGGGTTATTTCTTCTTGTTGATATTTCTAGGGGGCTTGGGGGCTAGAACTAAGTATTTCTCTTGCTCCAGATTGGTTATTCTTTGGTGCAACTCAAAACTGTAAGGGTCTGGCAAAATAGTTTCTTTTGCAGGCAGACTTTTGTTAAAGAGAACAGAATACTCAGAAGTATTTAAAAACTATTACTTTTCTTTTCCACCTGATAAATATGAGGGGATTTTTTTTTCATTCTGCATACCAAGAACCTAGTGGGGTTCCTGGAGGTAAAACTCAAGAAAGTTTGGGGCTCCCTTAAGACTAGGCCCCCTGGAGTATTTAACTCTCAAGTTTTTTCACACTGAGCCTCCAGTCTTTCACCTATTATGATTTAAGTTTTTCTACCCCATTACTTGCCTCAGTGGCAGGTTGATGCAAGCGGGCTTCTCTGATCAGCAATGACTCTCTGTATTTAACCATTTCTACAATTGTCACAGTCCACACTTTTGTCTTGGGACTTGAGTTCTCCCTTGGACCCAAGAAAAGTTGTGGATTTTCAGTTTCTTCGGATTTTTTCTTCTTCTGTCCATGCAAGTGATAACTTCCAAGCCCCTTACATCTTGAAATGGTAACCAGAACTTTACCATTTTACTTTTAATTTTTCTCCTTTCTTATACATAGTTTGTGACTTTTAGAAAGAGGATGTAGTTGATTTTTTTTTTCCTGTCTGAAAATCTTATTTTTTTGTTGAAGCATTCATGTATTTATATTTAACATATTGACTTATTTTGGTTTAAGTCTATTATTTAAATTTTTATTTTCTCTTAGTTCAATCTTTCTTTGTTTCTTCTAATCTTTTTATTAATGAAATTTATATTTTAGTTATTCAATGTTTCTACTAGTTCCTAAATATGCATGCTTTTACTCTAATATTGCTTGTGTTTTCTTTAAATCACATTGAATATTCTTGACTCTGTAGGGTCTAGTATAAATTAGTAGGTTTACCATTGACCAGAAAATGTAAGTATTTTGGATATTTAAGCTCCACTTAAAAGTTGATTTTCTGTTAATGTTGCCATGTATTCTATTTCTACACATATTTTAAATTTCAAGGGATATTATAGTTTTGTGTAAAATAGATAATATACTTTTAAATTAGCAGCATATTTAACCCTTTGAGATGGTCTTTCTTTCTCTTCATTTCTGATTTTTTGTCTGGGATTTTCTTCTGCTTTCATGCTTGAAAAACATTTTATTTTCTCCCAATTTCTTTACTGTAAGTCTGCTCTTTTCCAATTCTCTAAGCTTTTGTTTGTCAAAATGTCTTTATTTTACTTTTATTTTTGAGGGATACTTTTACTGGTTATAGAAATCAACCTTGCAGTTATTTTCTTTTAGCACTCCAAAGATACTATTTTTTTATATCTGGGCTCCATCATTGTTGCTGAGACATAACCTTTAAAACTTAAAGTGGTTCTTTTTTTGATAATGTATATTTTTCTTTTGTCTGTTTTTAACATTTTCTCTTGCTTTTGGCTTTCAGTACAGTTATATCCCTAAGGTTTTTATGTTTCTTTGTTTTTGTTAGGTGTTGCTTTTGGTTATAGTTTTGGTTTTTCCTCCTTGGAGTTCCTAGAATACATTAAAACTACAGGTTGTTGGTGTTTACCAATTTTGGAATATTCCAAGGAATTAGCTGTTTAAATACTGCTTCTTTGTCAATATCTCTCTCCCTTTTTTGAGTTTCTAATTACATTTAGTTACTACCTGTAACCATTATCTTATTGTCTCTGACATTATTTTCTATGTATTCTTTCACTTTCTGCTCTTTGTGATTCAATCTGGATGTTTTCTTTTGGCAGATTTTTGGATTCACTATTTTCTTTCTTTCCTTTTTAATCTGCTATGTCCGCTCTGTTGATAAATCTACAAACTAAAATTTTATTTTTCAGTTTTAAAATTTCTATTAATACTTAAATATAGATTCCAATTTCTGTTCAAATTTTTCACCTTGTCATCTATTTCCTTAAAAGTATTTGCCACTTTTATATTAAGATCTGATCATTAGAGTGATCTAGGTCCCTGTTTTGGCTTATTACCTAAATTTCTTTACTCATTGGTATTTGTTCCATACAGAGTAGGAAGTTAAAAGAATAAAAAGAAATGTACCTCATAGAGGTTGAGAAGCTCAGCAAAGATTTTAGCAGTTACCTAGTGTTGGGGGAAATATAAATGGAATTCAGAGCCCATTATGGGTTAAGAATCCTGATAAATTCCACAGATACTCAGGTGTGATGTTGAACTGTGCAAGCCCAAGTTAAGGGCAAGCATGATTGGGCTAGATCTTTTAAACACTGGCATCTAGCTTTGAATTAGCTGGATACTCAATTCTAATAAGTATATAAATATATCATCTTCCATAAAAAATGACATCTTACAGAACCTCTTCAGTTTTTCATACATGATATTTGATAATCAATATTTTAAGGTGAAGTAAAAGAGATTAAGAGGGGATTAAAAAAAAAGCAACAGGTGAACAGGTGATCTAAATGCTTTGATAATCTTTTTGATAAGCCAGTATGTGACTGTGGGCAGAAGACTCAGGTCATGTTTGTTCATGCAAGACTCCCTCTTTTACAAGAATATTTTTAAGAAACATGATTGATATACATAGTAAAGAGTTAACAAACACTTGATAATTATAAAATGAAATGTTTTCACTTCAAGGCAATAAAAGTCTTCAAAATGTTTACAAAATTATTTCTCAATTCTATTTGCTGTTGTAGAATATTTTGGTTTTATTTTCAATGCCTCATATTGATCTTGAGCCTCAAATGAGTGGAACAGTGACATACTAGTGATTTGTAGGCATTTCTTTGGACCAGACAAGCATACTAACAGGAAAGCAGATAAACTAGTTCTGCCAATAGATTAAGGAGTCTACATAGAAAGATTTAATCTGCAAATACTTTTTGGTTTATTTCCTGAATTGATAACAATGAACAAGAAAATATTATATCTTTTCTCTTGAACTTCAGAATAAAAACATGTCAAAACATGTATTTGCAGTCACATACCTTGGAAATGTGATTCCAATGTAGATTTTTTGCCTTGGTTCCAGTAACTTACATACAATAGTATTGTGCCTTGAAATAATCCTTTGTTAAATAGGAATATGAAAATGAACTTCCTTTCACTGCCTTTGCTTGCTACTCTATGTGCAGGTTGAAGGCAGAACAAAATCCTGCCACATCATTTTTGTGAACTATTATTCCATTATGAGCAGAGGGATTCAGATCCTGTTAGAATAAATTCACCCAGAATGTTTTTTTTTAAAGCAAAGGAAATTAAAAGTATACTACCAGAAAATATGTTTATAATATATATCAAAATTCTTTTGTTTATGCTTTCTAACTTAATAATATCACAGGAAATAATCTCAAATGTGAACAATTTGAAGAAAAAGATATTTTTTGCAGTCATGTTTAGAATTGCTAAAATCTAAATCCACCTAAGTCATCAACAAGAAACTAATTATAATTCAGCCACGTGATGTCTTTTCATACAGTACTGTATCCGTATTAAGGAGTAATTCCTTTAAAAATGAAAGCCTATGTTATAATTTTCATTGAACAAAGCAAAATAAATGATGATGTAATTTGTATAGTACATCAAAATTATCAAAATGATTTAATATGAAGCGATTGATGATATTACCAGTTGTTTCTTTTGTGTCTTTGTGCAAGAAATGTCGTGTAGCTTTGGGGATAAAAAGAGAAATCTAGTTGTCATTTGGAATCAGGAAGTAAATAATTATTTCCAGAGAGATTTAAAATGGCTTCTACTTTTACAGTGGAGAACATGTAGCTGTTAGATTTATGCATCATTATAATAAATACAGTTTTGGGTTGGAGACAGACCTTAAGTATCGGAGTCCCTAGGTATAGCTACACCATGCAACCCAAAGCTGGTGAACAGCCATGGATTAACGCAAATGTTCCAACATAGATTAGGTCTTCTAGGATAAAATTAAGTGAACTCTGGTCATGAGAAACACATCATTTTATACAAAATCCAGTACTGGATGTCCTCAGTTTGGACAGTAGTGCAGAGCCGCAAACATATCCATGCACATAGAGAGTGAAAAGTGGGGCCAGGTGTGGTGGCTGATGCCTGTAATCTCGGCACTTTGGGAAGTTGAGGCAGGCAGATCACGAGGTCAGGAATTCAAGACCAGCCTGACCAACATGGTGAAACTCCATCTCTACTAAAAATTCAAAAATTAGCTGGGCAAGGTGGCATGCGCCTATAATCACAGCTACTCAGTAGTCTGAGGCAGGAGAATTGCTTGAACCCGGGAGGCGGAGGTTGCAGTGAGCCAAGATTGCGCCACTGCACTCTAGCCTGGGCAACAGAGCAAGACTCTGTCTCAAAAAAAAAAAAAAGTGAAAAGTGGTTTTAAAAATCAGTTGGAAATGTTGTGATTGTCTGTGATCTTTATAAAAATTGTCAAAATGATGAAAACTCTCTTACTTTTGATCACAGATATATCTGGGAAATAAAAAGAAAGTAGTAAATCGAGATTTATTTTGTGTGCTCTAATGAAAACACTGGAGACTTATGCATTAAAATGTTTTATTTCATGCCAAAAAAAATAAACTAATCAGGTATAGTCTGAACTGTGCTTATTCTCTTCTTGTTGTATAATTTACCATATAGGGTATCTTTTCTAGTATTAATAAATTATGATAAACCTTTCTACATTTGGATCTTCCCCAACACTTTATTCTTCATACTTTATATGTCATAAAATGCCGCTGAACTAAACTTTTAAAGGAGCTATTCTTTTACTGTGAAGTTTTTGTGAGTATCATTTCCTCTGGGTTAGTTTCATCTTTTTTGTCACAGACACGTTCCTCATGTATGTGAGTAAATTTACCTTCACTAAGTTTCTCTGACTGCATACCTAGAGTCTCTTAAACTGTGGCAGTGGCAGTGTTCCCATGGTCAGCTATTTATTCTATAACTCCATTTCATGTTCAATTCAAACAAAGTACGGTAAACACTTCTGTCATCTTGTATACATACTGTTGTTACTTCCTCCAGGATGCTCATCACTTTGCTGTTGCCATTTTCAAATATTCTAATCAAATCCAGTTTCACTTTCAATGCTACCACTTTTTGTTTCTTTTCTGCACATTCATCCTTGCTACCTAATTCTTTCTTTTGATTTTCAAATTTTGTAAAATGTTACCATGGGTTCATCACTGGAAGATAAGGAGGTGACACAAGTACATAACTTCTTTTCTATGCATGACCTAAAAAATAGATGTGCAGTGTCCAGTCACTGCCAAATGTGATAAGAAGTAATGTGATTGATCAGTGGATCATGATGCACATTTGCCATTCATGTAGTGATTTGTGGACTCAAGAGTTAACAGTGAAGTTTGTACTTTATGCAATTGCTCACAGTTAATAGACTGTGGTAACGGACATTTGAACTGTGTTGTTGAGGGACTGGTGTGTTATTTTAATAAGGCATTGCCACTGGAATATCCCTATTGAAAACGTACAAAGCAAGGACTGCCTTTAATTAGTTCTGAATGGTAGGATTTGGCTGATTATCATTTTCATCTTTATACATTAATGCATGTGCATATTTTTCAAATTAGGTACTGACTACTCACTTAAGAAGAAAGAAGTACATTATAAAACAAAATCCTTAAATCAACAACCAATTCCTGCTGTTATTTTTCTAATAACCTTGGCTGCAGTTATTAGAAATAAGATGCTATAATCTTACCATTAGAACAGTAAAAGATCTTTTCTAGAAAAACTCACCTGTAACTCAAAAATATGCACATTGTAATCTGTTCCATGTTATCCAAATCACTTAATTGGGTTGCTTTACTTTTCTGTAAAATTATAGTAATGTTACTTACTGTTTTATGGTTGGTATGAGGATACAATGAAATAACAAATGGATAGTTACAGCACAGTACCTAGTTCATAGTGGGTATTTGATATATACCATCAGACATCCCAATAGTCTCTACAACAGAAATATCAAGAGACTGAATGACGTGCCAGATGAAGGTACAGGAAATCTCAGAGTCCACTTCCCCTTGTAGAAAGTTCAACTAAGAACTATCCCCAGACCAGAACATCCTTGCGAAATGTCAACAGAAATTTGTCAATGTCTCATCTCCCCATTTTGTTGTGTAGTGGCCTCTACAAGGCAAAAATTAAAGGTCTTTTCTCACTAGACCATGTGTGAAATCACTATATAATAAAAAGCCTTGGCTCTTATACAAAAATCCCTTTGGCAAGTCTTCTGACGGCCTGGAAAATTCAATAAAAAGGTCTTTCAAGGTATGTTAGTTTAGTCATCAAAAACAATCTAATGGAGCTCCAAAGCACTAGACAGAAATTAATCTGTGTGTGTATAACAGCAACATAAAAAGGAGGCAGTACATTGCAGCCACTAAGCAGGCAAGCAATTCTGGAAGGATTTCACATGATAATAATACTCACAGAGATTTCTCCTTTTCTTTCTGTGCTTAAAAGCTAATAAATGCCTTCTGTTAAATGTCACAGTAACCACATTCTCTGACACATTCTGACACCTTTATGAACTGGGTCTCTATTTACCTTATTGAGCAATGGAAGTAACCTTATATATACTCTGTGTGGTTTAAAATGGGAAACAGTGCCAATAAGACTGTCTCTTCTTTGCTTCTCTATGAGTCCAAGATTAATAGGAGAATATCATCATGAATCAGATACATTCTGAGAAATGCATCATTAGGCAATTTTGTCGTTGTGCAAACATCATAGAGTGTACTTACACGGACCTAGATACCATAGCCTACTATATACCTAGGCTATATGGTATAGCATGTTGCTTCTAGTTTACAAACATGTATAGCATGTTATTGTACTGCACACTGTAGACAATCATAATACAATGAAGCATTTATGTATCTAAACATACAATAAAAATATGGTACAGAAGATTTAAAGTGGCACACCTGTATAGGGCATTTACAACGAATGAAGCTTGCATGACTGGAAGTTTCTCTGGGTGAGTCAGTGAGTGAGTGAATGTGAAGACCTAGACATTATTGTACACTAATGTAGACTTTATAAATACTTTACACTTAAGCTACACTAAGTGCACTAAATGTATTTTTATTTTATTTATTTATTTATTTATTTTTTGAGACAGAGTCTCACTCACTTGCCCAGGCTGGAGTGCAATGGCACAATCTCGGCTCACTGCAATCTCCGCTTCCTGGGTTCAAGCGATTCTCCTGCCTCAGCCTCCTGAGTAGCTGAGACTACAGATGCTTGCCACCATGCCCAGCTAATTTTGTATTTTTAGTAGAGACGGGGTTTCATCATTTTGGCCAGGATGGCCTCGAACTCCTCACCTCAGGTGATCCACCTGCCTCTGCCTCCTAAAGTGTTGGGATTATAGGCGTGAGCCACTGTGCCTGGCCCACTAAATGTATTTTTAAAATATCTCTTTCTTCAATAATAAATTACCCATACCTTACACTGTAACTTTCAAACTTTGTAAACTTTTAAATTTTTTAAATTTATTTGTAAGAATACTTAGCACATGCTGCTGTATAAAAATATTTTTCTTTATATTCTTATTCTATAAACTTTTTTCTACTTTAAAATGTTTTAATTTATTTTATTGTTACTTTTTAAACTTTCTGAAAAACTAATACACAAACATACACATAAGCTTAGGTCTACACAGGTCAGCGTCATCCATATCACTGTCTTCCACTTCCACCTCGCGTCTCACTGGAAGGTCTTCAGGGGCAATAACAAGCATGGAGCTGTCATCTCCTGTGGTAACAATGCTTTCTTCAGAAACAGTTTCTGAAGGACCTGCCTGAAGCTGTTCTACAGTTACTGTTTTTTTAAATAAGGAGAAGAGATAGACTCTAAAACAATAATAAAACATGTAGTATTGTAAACACATAAACCCGTAACAGTTGTTCATTATCACTATCAAGTATTATGTACTCTACACAAATGTGTTAGACCTTTATATGACTGGCAGTGCAGTAGGCTTATTTACCGTAGCATCGCTACAAATACCTCAGTAATGCATTGTGCTATGACATCACTAGGCGATAGGAATTTTCCAGCTCCATTAAAATCTTGTGGGAACACCATTACATATGTGGTCCATAGTTGACCAAAACATTATTGTGTGTCACATGACTGTACTGCTAGATAAATAATACCCTAATATAAGGTCAATATGAAAAATTCCTATGTGAACAAGAAGCAAGAATTTAAGAAAGATCTCTAGATTTACTTTCTAAGAGTGAGAGAAGATAGAACAGGGGGAAGGTAGAATTAATTAAAATTAAATTTTAAGGCCTGGCGCGTGGCTCACACCTGTAATCCTAGCACTTTGGGAGGCTGAGGCGGGTGGATCACAAGGTCAGGAATTCAAGACCACGGTGAAACCCCATCTCTACTAAAAATACAAAAAATTAGCCGGGTGCAGTGGCAAGCGCCTGTAGTCCCAGCTACTCAGGAGGCTGAGGCAGGAGAATGGCGTGAACCCGGGAGGTGGAGCTTGCAGTGAGCTGAGATTGCACCACTGCACTCCAGCCTGGGCGACACAGCAAGACTCTGTCTCAAAAAAAAATAATAATAAATTTTAATTAAAATTAAAATTAGATTCAAAAAGTTAGTGGGAGAGAAAAGCAGAAAAAACTAAGAGAATTGAATAGTTAAAGATTTTGGGGACATCAAGATATGTTTGCTCCAGGACTTACATATGGTTGGAGTTGCAGTGATACAGTGGAGACAGGATATAACTGTTGTGAACCTAAAAAGAAATACTATTTAGTCTTTAAACGTTAAATATTTATGCATTAGTGTCAGATGTATTCAAGTGTCAGCACCAAATACATCACTAATAGTATAATTATTTCAAACTTTATACCAATATATATTCCAGATATTCCACAATGTATGATTATAATTATTATATGCATGTATGCTATGCTTGATAATTAGAGTGTTATCAAGTTAATATGAATTTGTAATATTATTGCAAATAATAATAATAGAGTGTTACCAAGTTAATATGAATTTGCAATATTATTTCAATGCCTAGCAAGTACTAGACACTCTTTAAAGCACTTTACAGGTATAATCTCATTTCATGCTTACAAAAACCTAAGAATTATCTATACTGGTAACCTTCATTTTACAGACAGAAAAGCTGAAACACTGAGCCATCAGAAAAACTACTCATGGCTCACACAAGTGGTAAACATGAGAGTCTGGATTCAAACTCAAGGCATCATGAGTGTAAAACTTAAAGACAACGAAGCAAAGGAAAAGAGTAGAAACAAAATAAAACTATAACATATTGCAAAGATCCCAGCTATACATTAAGTATGGTTATCTCTGCTATTTAGGAGATTACTGTTTCTCTGGAGAAGCAACAGAGATTCAAGAAAGACTCATAATACAAGAAAAATACAACATGAATGTCAAGTTCAAATGAGTCAGACATTGCTTTTAATCATGTGGTGAAAAAGAACTTGAGGAGGTCCAGTGTGAGTAGAAAATTGGAGCAGATGTACATTTATATTCCATTTCTTAGAAAAGGGGAACAAAGTGTCAGAATAGAATAATGCTAAGATGTCAACTTTACCTATCTTTGGTTCTCTAATCGCAGAGAAAACACTTTGAATCAGAAGAGCTGCAACAGTACCTGTCTTAACAATATCATTTACTTTATAGAGAACAATGAGACGCTTGATAGGCACTCAGTTTTTTTGTTTGAAGGCATAGATACACTCAGTAAAAATTGACTTGTTCTTTCTGCAATATTATATTTGTCATTTTCTTAACTTTTGAAGATGTAAATCCTTCCCAGAGGAATTAACATGTGAACTACTACATATTAAACACCAAGTAGCAAATGTCACTCTTAGTATTTAATAATATTTAAAATCCTAAAATCCACCTAAAAGAAATTCCCTGATGAAGCAAATTGGAATTTCCGATTTCACCTCTGACTTCTACTATGGCCATGAAAAACTTTTCTTATCTATGAACAAAGAAAGTTAGACAAATTTTAGCTCCCTTTTTTAAAGGTCCAGATGCTTGAGTCTAGGTCCTAAATTGAATGCATCTTTCCTGGCCTCTTACTTTAAAAGAACCCTTTAGTTGGGTTTTTTATTTAATGGTAAGAACAATTCCGAACAACTTAGCATCCCTGCTGCGTCCATTGCAATTGCTTCCTATTTTCCTTCTGAAAGGAAGATTTAGCAAATTGGACTTTAGGCTTAATGTCCTTCAGAAGATATCCCCTCTATATTTTTTTCTTGATAAACTACTTCAGAACTACTTAATACACCATGAACCAACATTGATTAGTATTCATCTTAGTGTTACACATTTCCTGAAAAATAAAATGGTTGCATGCATTTAGTTTGAAATGTTTTACAAGTTGTTTTAACAGCTTTTGAGTAGTTTCACAATATGATTCCATTTAAGAGGATAGAAAATAATAGGCAATAGAGATAAACTGAAGTAGTAGCTCAGAGGAAGTTAACACTTTAAGTGACAAAGTAACCTGGTGAAAACACATACGTAGTAATTATTCCCAAACTGGGGTGGCATCCAACTTTCTTCACTGGTATTCTTAGCAAGACATTGTTAAGAGGCAACCTCTTGATGATAAACTTTATATTGCAATGCCAGAAGATGAAGCTGCGCATTTCTTGTCTGGGTAAGAACAAGCTAGGGCAGGCAAGGCTTCTGTGCTCTCAGAAGCATTCAGTTCTTAAATCACAAAGCCACTTGCAGGTGTTTCTCGGAATCCCTAACAGTAAATCCTTCATTTTACACTATTGCTAATTTATTTTTCTCTTGCTCTTTCAGTCTTACTTTTGATCTCTTTAATATTACCTTTAGTAGTTATTTTTAAAATAGCCAATTGGAGGTGGAGCAAAATGGCTGAAAAGAAGGCTTCACTAATCACCCCACCCCCACAAAGACACCAATTTAACAACTATCTACACACACCAAATAAAACCTCAGAAAAAAACAAAAATCAAGTGCGCACTCATAGTACCTGGTTTTAACTGCACATTACTGAAAAAAAAAAAAGGCACTGAAGAAGTAGAAAAAACAGTCCTGAATCACCAATGCCATGCCACCCCCACCCCCAGCAACCCCAGCATGGTGTTGAGAGTATTTCTGTGCACTGGGAAAGGGAGAGCACAGCAATTGTGAGGCATTGAACTCAGTGCCGTCCTGTCCTGTTAGAACAGAAAGAAAAACTGGAGGAAACTCAGCTGACACCCACCCACAGAGGGAGCATTTAAACCAGCCATAGGCAGAGGGGAATCACCGATCCCAGTGATTAGAACTTGAGCTTGTACAACCCTTACCACCATGGGCTGAAGAGCTCTGGGTCTCTGAGTAAACTTGAAAAGCAGTCTAGACCATATGAACTGCAACTCTTGGGCAAGTCCTGGTGCTGAACTAGGCTCAGGACCAGTGGACTGGGGGGTCATATGACTTACTGAGACACACACAGGGTGGCTAAGGAAAAATTGGCATCACCCCTCTTGTAAACCCAGGCTGCACAGCTCACGGCTCCAAAAGACAACTCCCCTTCCTTCCACTTGAGGAGAGGAGAGGGAAGATTGAGGAGAACTTTGTCTTGCATCTTGGATACCATCTCAGCCACAGCAAGATAGGGCACCAGTCAGAGTTGTGAGGCCCCTATTCCAGACCCTAGCTGCTGAATGACATTTCTAGACACACCCTGGGCCAGAAGGGAACACACTGCTTTGAAGGGAAGGACCCAGTCCTGGCAGCATTCATCATCTGCTAACTGAAGAGCCTTTGGACCCTGAATAACTAGCAGTAATACTCAGGTACTACAGGGAGGGCCTTGGGTGAGCCTCTGAAACTTGCTGGCTTCAGGGGAGACTCAGAACATTCCTAGCAGTGGTGTCTATGGGGTGAAACTCCTTTTTCTTGAGAAAAGCAGAGGGAAGAGTAAAGGAAACTTTGTCTTGCTCCTTAGGTACCGGCAAGGCCACAGGAGGGTACATCACCAAATGGAGTCCCTTATTCCAGGACTTGACTCTTAGACAGCATTTCTGGACATACCCTGGGCCAGAGAGGAGCCCGCTGTCCTGAAAAGTGAGTCCCAGGCCAGGCAGCATTCACCACAAGCTGACTTGAGAGTCCTTGGGCCTTAACAGAACATCAGTGGTAGTCTGGCAGTACTCCCCGTGGCCTGTGGTGGCAGTGGCCATGGGGTGAGGATCCTCTGCCTTTGTAAAGGGGAGGGAAGAGTGGGAAGGACTTCATCTTGTGGTTTGCGTCCCAGCTCTGCCACAGTGCAATAGAATACCAGATATATTTCTCAGGTTTTTGACTCTAGTCTCTGATTCCCACACAGCCCACAGCACCTCTGGACTCTTCTAGGGCCTGAGAGAACTCACTGCTCTGAAGGGAAGGACACAAACCTTGTTGGCTTTGTGACTAGCTTACTGTAGAGCCTCAAGGCCTTGAGTGAACATAGGCAACAGCCAGGGAGTAGTTACAGCAGGCCTTGGTTGACACCCAGTGCTGTGCTGGCTTCAGGTCTGACCTAGTGCAGTAATAGTGATGGCCACATGGGTACTTGTGTCACTTTACCCCCAGCTTTTGGTGACAAAACAGAGAAAGAAGCTCCATTCATTTGGGAGAAAGTCAGGAAAAGGAACGAGAGTCTCTGTCCGGTAATCCAAAGAATTCTCTTGTATCTTGTCCAATATCATCAAGTCGGCAACTCGATGAGTCTGCAAGAACTACAGTGTTACTGGGCTGGGGTGCCCCCTCAAGCTGATATAGCTTATATCACAATACCCAATTCCTTTATAATATCTGGAAAGCTTTCCCAAGAAGAAGGGGTACAAATAAGCCCAGACAGTCAGACAGTAAAGACTATAGTAAATACCTAACTCTTCAATGCCCAGATACCAAAGAACATCTACAAGCATCATCACCATCCAGGAAAACATGACCTCACCAAATGAACTGAATAAGCCACCAGGGACCAATCCTGGAGAAACAGAAATATGTGACCTTTCAGACAAAGAATTCAAAATAGCTGTGTTGAAGAAACTCAACGAAGCTCAAGATAGCACAGAGAAGGAATTCAGAATTCTATCAGATAAATGTAACAAAGACATTAAAATAATTAAAAAGAATCAAGCAGAATTTCTGAAGCTGAAAGATGCAATTGGAATACTGAAGGATGCATCAGAGTTTTTTAATAGCAGAACTGATTGAGCAGGAGAAATAATTAGTGAGGTTGAAGAAGGCTATTTGAAAGTACACAGAGGAGATAAAATAAAAAGGAATAAAAAACAATGAAGCATGCCTACAGAATCTAGAAAATAGCCACAAAAGAGCAAATCTAAGACTTACTGGCTTTAAGGAGGAGGTAGAGAAAGAGATAGGGGTAGAAAGTTTATTCAAAGGGATAATCACAGATAACTTTCCAAGCCTAGAGAAAGATACTGATATCCAAGTGCAGGAAGGTTATAGAACACCAAGAAGATTTAACCCAAAGAAGACTATCTCAAGGCATTTAATAATCAAACTCCCAAATATCAAGGATAAAGAAGGGATCCTAAAATCAGCAAGAGAAAAGAAACAAATAACATACTATTAAGCTCCAATATGTCTAGCAGCAGATTTTTCAGTGGAAATCTTATAGGTCAAAAGAAAGTGGTATGATGACATATTGAAGTGCTGAAGGAAAAAAAAAACTTTTACCCTAGAATAGTGTATCTGGCAAAAATATCCTTCAAGCATAAAGGGGAAATACAGACCTTCCCAGACAAACAAAAGCTGAAGGATTTCATCAGCACCAGAAATGCTAAATAACTCCTAAGTAACTAAGTTTTAAGGTAGATTGTGCTCAGCAATAGGTTATTAATATACCCTCCAATAAAGTTATTTCCAAACTTCCACCATAGTTCAATTTATATACCTGCCACTTGCAACCACATAGTCCTGACTTGAATATCTTTATTTACCCAATTACTAGCTACATTATGTTGTGCAAGTGACTGTTAAGTTTTCTCACCTGTGACAAGGATAGCAATGTTTTTGCTTGGTGCGGAAGATATGAGGATTGAAATAATGCATTTGAGGTCACCATAGAAAGAATAAATTTAACAAAAATTATTATACCTGTTATTATAAATTAATCTTTTATCATATACTTAGAAGATGATAGGGAATCTGGTACAGAACAGGTGCTTTACTGAATGAATTAATAGAAGTCATTTGTTGATATATTTAGATTAAGATTTGTTTTAGGAAGACACGAATATGATCTAAAAAGAGAATTCACACACATACAGATACACAAAATTATGCATATAGTGTAACCACACGTTCTTAAACATATTTAAAATTAATGCCTGTAGATTTGCATACTTAGAATTTGTTTATCTACTTTAAGTCTCTACTATAATCAGTTAATAAACATTATAGGACATCACATTTATTTTACATCATATAATAGAAATTGATTTGCTATATTCTAGTGAATTTAGCTAATTATGTTCTGCCATATTAATTCAAGCATTTAAAATGTTATTAATAGGAATGGAATAGACAAGTTGAAATGGAAGTGAGCACAGAATATCTTTTTTTTTTTTTTTTTTTTTTTTTGAGACGGAGTTTCACTCTGTCGCCCAGGCTGGAGTGCAGTGGCGCGATCTCGACTCACTGCAAGCTCCGCCTCCCGGGTTCACGCCATTCTCCTGCCTCAGCCTCCTGTGTAGCTGGGACTACAGGCACGCGCCACCATGCCCGGCTAATTTTTGTATTTTTAGTAGAGACGGGGTTTCACCGTGTTAGCCAGGATGGTCTCGATCTCCTGACCTCGTGATCCGCCCGTCTCGGCCTCCCAAAGTGCTGGGATTACAGGCGTGAGCCACCGCGCCCGGCCCAGAATATCTTTTTGAACAGACTATTTAATGAGTCATATCTTTAGATTCACAAAGTGGTATGTCCTTCTATTTTAAGGACCTAGACAGAATTATACCTTATAATCCAAGAATGGAAAAATGATGTTGATTTATTTTATTTTATCTGTTTTTATTGATACATCATAGATGTACAAAGTTTGGGGATACATGTGATAATTTAATACAGTCATGTAATTTGTAAAGATCAGATCGGTATGTTTGGAGTATCTATCACTTTATGTTTTTTTTTATGCTCCATCAGTCAAATTATTATTTTCTAGTTATTTTGAAATGTACAATAGATTATTGTAAACTATATCCACCCTACTATCTATCAACCACTAGATCTTATTTCTTTTATCAAACTGCATTTTTGCACCCATTAATCAACATCTTTTCATTCTCTCTTCTCCCCTACCATTCCCAGTCTCGGGTAACCACAAACCTCCTCTCTATTGTCGTATGATCCACTTTTTAGCTCCCATATATAAGTTAGAACATGTGATATTTGTCCTTCTCTGCTTGGCTTATTTCACTTAAGAGAGTGACCTTTAGTTCTATCTATGTTGACTTTTTATGGCTGAAAACTATTCTATGGTGTATATATACAGCATTTTTCCTTTATCCAATTGCCCATTGATTGATAGTTAGGTTGATTTTATATTTTGGATACTGTGAATAGTGCTACAATAAATGTGAGAGTGAAGATATATCTTTAATATATTGATTTCCTTTTCTTGGAATATATACCCAATAGTGGAATTATGGAACCATATGGTAGATCTATTTTTAGTAATTTGAGGAACCTCCATACAGTTTTCTATAGTGGCTGTACTAATTTACATTCCCCTTTCTCCACATCCTTACCAGTATCTGTTATTTTCTATTTATTTCTTTTATGAAAGCCATTTTTACCTGGGGTAGGATGATATCTTATTGTGATTTTGATTTGCATTTCCCTGGTGGTTAGCGGTGTTGAACTTTTTTTTATATACTCGTTGGCCATTTGTATGTCTTCTTTAGAAATTCAGATCTGCATATTTTTTAATTGGATTATTTGCTTTTTCTGTTACTGAGATGTTTGAGCTCCTTATATATTCTGGTTAATAATTCCTTGTCAGAGGCTGGGAGTGGTGGCTCACGCCTGTAATTCCAGCACTTTGGGAGACCAAGGTGGGTGGATCACCTGAGGTCAGGAGTTTGAAGCCAACCTGACCAACATGGCAACATCCCGTCACAACTAAAAATACAAAAATTAGCCAGGCATGGTGGCGGGCACCTGTAATCCCAGCTACTAGGGGGGCTGAGACATGAAAATAGCTTGAACCTGGGAGACAGAGGTTGCAGTGAGCTGAGATCATGCCATTGCACCCCAGCCTGGGCGACAGAGGGAGACTCTATCTAAAAAAAAAAAAAAGAAGAAGAAAAGAAAAATAATAATTCCTTGTCAGAAGGATGATTTCACAAAATTTTTTTAAATAAGAAGCTATTTTTACTACCTGAATTTCTATATCCTAGTTGGTGAAGAGTTTGGGAAAATCCAAAATCATAGAGTTTAATCAAATGTGACTGACTATGACATATGTCATATGCACATATCTTTTTATTTGGCTTTGGTTTTAAATATATTGGAAAAATAAGACTAATGTCTTTTAACAAAACAATTACTTAGCTAGAAAGCCAACCTGCATAAATAATGTAAAAGGTAAAAAAGCTTTATACAAAATATTATTATTATCCATGGTGTTAAAAATAAAGAGGAAAATAAGGCAAGTGGTCAAAATATAAATTACTGGCTAGATAAAATAAGGTATATACATTTGTGTGTTTTTAGTGCACATTAACCATATTAAATGCATAGGTAATAAAACAGGATATTATTTTAGAAGTTAAGGATACAAGCCAATGCATAATATAATGACAAATATAATATAAAACTCAACAGATATGCAGATACATATTTACACAGGAAAAAATATCTAAAAAAGCCACATGCCACAGTAAAAGCACAAATAAGTTATTTAATCCCACTGTGTGGTTTCCCTCATCTATAAAAGAGAGATACTAGTTTCACTTACTTTGCAAAGTAAGTACAAGGATTAAAAATAATTTACCTGAAACACAAGGACCATAGTGAATAGTCAATTAATTAATTATTATTATTATTGTTTCTATTGCTGGTAATTAGGTGGAGTAATTGGTGGGGATTTATTTCTTCTCTTTTCATCAATTCCATACTAATTACTTTTACAGCGAAAAGCCTATATGTACAAAGAAGGAAACTAGAATTCAAGCCTTGATAATGCCTCTTGTTTTGATGTCAAATCAGGTTTCCAAGACAAGAAATGCCATTCTTCATGTGTCAGGTGATCAATTACATCCTCAATTACACATCTGTACTTTTTCTTTCCTATAAGTAGAGCATAAATTTCTGACAGGGACCCAAACCTTATGAACGGCAGAAAGTACTTGAGAGGAATATGGTCACACGTTCTTAGTCCCATCACATTGAATTTTTCAAAAGTAATGCCAGTTACATCACTTCATCTTCCAGATATACAGCTACATAAATGTAAATGTCACAGCACAAAATATCTAAACTATCCATATAATCAGTGCTTCACAGACAGGAAGGAGACTCAGGGACAGATTCGCCGGGTAAAGCAAATTAACTTTCACCTTCCTGCTATTTTTTTTTTCTTCTGTTGTACTGTTGAAGTTAATTACAATTATTATTTGAAGTGTATTTGGTGGATGAGAAGTTTTCATTCCAATCATCTGTCATTAAAAGTCAGGCCTTCCCCACCAGTGAAAAATCCACCAGGTAACCTTAGAGGTCATATAGAGGTCACACAGCAAGTCACATAGAGGGTGACTTTTTTAAATGATTTTTTTTCTATATTTTTCTGTCTAAGTTCTTCCATTTTCTGGTCTAAGGTTTCTAAAAATGCCTAATGTCAGATAAATCCAAAAGTTTTTACTCAGGAACACTATATTATTATGAAATTTATGAATACCCACATTTTTATTATATGATTCCTATGACTTTTTTCATTGCACAATTAGTTTCCTTACACACTGTATGTTGAAATCAGCTTTCAGTTTTGTTCTGATAGATACTTTTTTAAAAAGTAGACTAGGAGAAAGTTATCATTAAATGTTACTTCTCAATTTAACTGGTATTTACACAAAGAAGCTTTTTCTGATCTAAGAGAATGAGCTTTTTTCTTCCTGTTACACTGTATCATGCCAATTTATGTTTTATCTTCCACTCTTCCTCTGTCATTTAACTGACCATGTTGCCTCTTATCACTGGCTCTTTTCTCCTCCCACCTTTTGGAAGATTTTTCCCCCCTCCCTCTTCAATAAATTAATTTCGCTAATTCTTAAGATCTGAGTTTCATTACTGCTTCCCCATCAAACCTTCCCTGAACTCCATGACTATGGAAAATCTTTTTTTTTTTAAGGGCAGTCACATGAACATGTACATCTATCTCATCCACAGCACTTTTCCAGTTGAATTTTACACTGGTGTATAAACATTTGAATAATATCTTTATCACTATTAGACTATTAATGTCACAAGGGCAAAAAATGAAGTCTGTATTTGCTAACAATTATATCCCTATTGTCAAGGACAGTGCTGAGAACATCGAAGTCACTCAGTGAATAGTTATTGATTGAGCAAATGAAGATTTTTAGCATTAAATAAAACCATATATGTAGAAGATCTGGTACATATTAAGTTATATTTTGTAATTAGAGTAACTTCTTTTGGACGTAATTTGGATTTTGTAAAATATCAAATGATAGTTTATCAAAATCGATCACTATGGGTAGCTAGAGTAAATTACTTTTTAATGTATTACAAGAAATAAGAGTTGACATCAAAGATAGAAGAGGCAGTGATCCTTTTGAAAGGAACAAGGACGAAGTGTGAGCAGTGCATGCAGACTGGCTGCTGCATTGGCAGAATATGTCACCTTCTGAGTGGGATCTGCTGGAAAACACTATATTTTCATCTTAAGTAGTTCTAGAAGATTATTTTTAAAACAAACACACACACATTATGGTTTAGCATCCGAAAAACCACGGATAGTAACATGGATATCTATCCATGAAGAGAAATATTATGTGGTGCAGCAGAAATGCTTTGGGGCAAGATTGATGTGTTTTTGAAGCTGAGCTCTGTCACTTTCTGTTTGTTAGTCTCCTCCCATATAATAGGGAGGCCGTGATACCAGTAATCAAGGATTCCTTACAAAACTAAATTAATATGTTTCTCAAATGTTCTGAGCCACATAGTAACATAGATAATGATCCTTCTCTCCAAAAATCAAACATACAATCAATCAAAGGTAGACATACAAATGTCAGTTAACTAGTTGTCCCAAAAAGGAGGAAAAGGGGCAACATTACATGTTAAAAAATGTAACATCTACAAAGCATATTCATCTGAATCATCTAATATCCTCATAAACAGGCTGAGAAGTTGATGCAAGAGAGGAAACTGAGCTCAGCATGATTAACTACACCGGTCCAAATTCACAAAGTCTTCTTTTCAAAAGAAAGAGGTGAAGCCATAACCTGTGAGGCATATTCAAATTCTGTTGACATAAATATTTTAGTAGATAAACCTACACTCAACAGAAATGAAATCACTTTAAAATTCTAGCAAAGGAACACACAGCACTTTTTTATATTCCTGGTTTTTTTTTAATTTTCTAGCAAATCAATCTACTAATTGTTTAACAAACAAAATAAAAGCATATGAAAGGAAAATTCAACATCAAAGCTATGCAAGGAAGTTATCATCTTGGTAAAACCACCAGTATTTCAAGCAAAGACTTTATCTTGTTGAAGGCATTAAAACATCCAAGTTGAGCAAGTGCCAAAACAAGTTCATGTGATGTAATGAAATTATTTGCTTTTTATGACAAAATGATGAATATTCCAAACTAACCTCAAAAACTTCTAGCCATAGGATCTTAACCTTATAGTTAAGGTCAAAGAAAAAATTATCCTGGTTCCTATTTTTCTCTTTTGTCATCAATATGAATTTTAGATGAGAATTACCAATATAGTATTCACATACAAGGTGACTTGCACAGAGTCAGTGCTCAATTAAATAGCTATTAAGCTGCATGTTAAAGTGTCTCAAAGACAATGCCTGGCACACTTTGAGTGCTCACATTGCTAATTCCCTAAATAAGTGAGAGAATTGAGAGCTTATTTTACTTTTACCAAATTACGACCTGCCTCCTACCATCTAAAATGGACCAAGGCACCCAAATGAATGAAGACAGGTAGCGTAATTACTAATTAAATCGCTGTAGCAATTTACTTATATTTTCTAGCAAGAAATAAACATTTACATAGCAAAAATCTTAACCCAGAAAAAAAGAAAAGAACTTTATATCTAGAATGAAGTAACTGGGCTGGAATACTAATGCACAGAAAGCAACCTAGTAGTGATGTTGGCCAAACCAGAAATGCAGCATATTCATTGAATTCCACTGAAAGTAGAATTGTGTAAGCACTCACTCAGTCTCAACAAGATTTGCCTAATAACAGGAGAGTTACTTTGTTCATTTCTTCAACAAATTTTTTATATGTCCAATTATTTCCAAAGCTCCAGATAGAAATGAGGGAGAGAGCTCAACCTGAAAAAAAAAAAAAGTCCAGGACATTACTATCTTGTGGCATCTGCACCAGAATGGCTATATCAGAATTCCATAAAGGGGACAACTCATAAATGCCATAGAGAAAACACAAAATCTGATATGCTAGTCCCTGAGCAAAGGAAGACTACTTAAAAATTTGTTTATACAATAAACTTTATATAACATTTATAATCTTAAACTTGTACTTTCTTGATGATTCAATTCCGTTACCATAGCAATTTTCATGTATTTCATTAGATATTGATGGGTTCTTTGTATTGTCTGTCATTGTTAAACAATTACAATCTGTACATGCATGTAAGAATAATTTGGATTTAATCTATAATAATTAATATTATATGACCTACTTTTCAAAGCACCTTTCAAATAGCAAACACTTTTATGTTCATTGACTTTATGTTTATTGATAGTAAAATTCCTGAAATCCTGTGATATATAAACCACAGATATAATAATCTGATTTCACAGATGAGAAAACTGAGACTTAGTGTAAGCTATAAAATATGTTGATGCTCTTATAGAAAATTAATGCAAAAGCTGGAAAGGAGCCATATTAGTCGGTGTTCTCCAGGGAGATAGAAACAATGGGAACCAATGTTTCTCCAGAGAAACAGAACCTATATACGTGTGTGTGTGTGTGTGTGTGTGTGTGTGTGTGTGTGTATGTGTGTGTGGAGAGAAAGAGACAGAGAGAGAGAGACAGAGAGAGAGAGAGAGATTTCTTATGAGGAATTGATTTATAAGACTGTGGAGGCTGGGGAGTTCAAGATCTGCAGTAGGCAAGCTGGTAACAAAAGAGGTAAGACTGACGTAAGTTCTGCTCTGAGGCTAAGTGCGAAGTCAGAAGACTGATGTCCCAGCTGAAAGACAACTAAGGGAAGAAAGAATTAATACTTACCCAGACTCTTATTCTATTTGGACCTTCAATGGATTGGATGAGATTCACCTACATAAGGGAGGGCAATCTGCTTTATTCAGTCTACTGGTTTAATGTTAATATTATCCAGAAACATTCTCTGAGACACATCCAGGAATAATGTTTAACCGCATATACAAGTACCCCATGATGCAGTCAAGGTAATATATAAAATTAACTATCACAGGAACCGAGATATCTAGGCATTCAATGGAAAATACAGGGTAATCAATCAATAGTTTTTGATTACTGTGTATACATTATATAGTCCCAAATAAAAGAACAGCTTATGGATGACTTCATATTTGCAAATTTATTTCTAGAAGGAAAGATTCTCTTAGTTTAGCGAATCACAGGAAGTCCAAATCATTGAATCCTCACCACCAGCCTTTGCCTGAGAGTTGTTTCCACTGAGGTGTACAGCTGAAGACTGCTCATTTAACCCGGCCATATGTCTTCTGGTTCCATGCATTTGACCATATGGGAAAAGCACAGAAAACTGGATAATCAGCCAAAAATCTTGGAAGAGTTTTGTTAAAAACTGAGCTTTAACAGTCAACATTACAGATTTGCTGCCTGTTTAAATCTTTGTAATAATGCACATTTGTATAATTTGCTCCCAATGTTTATTCATGGAGCATTTAGTCAACAATATTTATTGAATATTTTCTTGGTGAATTTATAGTAGAGGGTGATGCTAGTGTTAGAGGATAAAATATTATCTATGCCTCCTGGGAAAGTTAAGTGTATTAAGATGTTTTCCTTTAATAAAACACAATTGCCTGACTAGAGATATTGTCTGCCTGCTACCTGATAAGATTCCCTAAGGAAAACTCAGTTTATTCACTTCGGTGTTGTTTCTGGTGCTAATTAGATAAAAACTAGAAGCTGGATATTCTTGGTACCTTCTAAATTTGGACAGACAGTTGCTGACAGGCCACTCATAACTAATACCGCATGAGCTCAAGTTTCATACGAAGGGCATTGTATTATATTATTTTGAGTAATATATTTTCCACATATCCACATAGCCCTAATAAAAATCAAATCAGAGTGTTCAGTGGAGGTGAAATTAGAGAAACTTAAAGGGACCATTTTAAAATAGATATTTTTGTGGTTGGAAAAGTAATGCCTATTAATTAGAGAGCATTAGAAAACCTAGAAAATAGAAATAAAATACAAAGATTGGACCACCTAAATATAACCATTAACAGCCATAGTTATTAAAATATGCTTTTAGTTTATATACATGACATATAAGATATCTAGTATTTATGAACTGCTCTTCTGCTGCAATTTCTGTTCACAACAATTTACATTCATTATCTCATTCCATCTTTTGGACTATCTATTTTTAGTAGTTCTACCTCATAAGTAATAAAAACAAAGCAGAAAGAGATAACTTGCTCTAGTTAGTCATATCTAGTTAAGTAAATAAACTTTTTTGCAGGTGAATTCAAAATGTGTGCCCTTAATTATTATATTCTAATGAATATTTATACTCACAGACATACAAATTCATCCATGTTCATAGCTGGGTATTTCTGTAGAAAGCAAGAGCACTGTGTAAATTCTGTTTGTAATATGCTTTTTACAAAATCGTATTATAAAAACATTTTGTTATTTATGCACTACGTATGTTTTCAGAGTCTTAAATTGTTCTAAAGGATAAACTAGAGCTTTTTGTAACACACATGGTACTTGGATTTTTATTTTTAATGTTTTACTATGATTTTTATGAAGTATGTTATCTCAAAAAATATTTCTATTCTTTTCACTCTTTTAGAAAATGAGTAATCCTTTGGAATACCTACTAAACCATGGTGAGTCCTAATGAATTAGAACAGAAAGGACCTTTTGGGGAATGTGAGGATTCGTGATATCCCAGATCCAGGTTAACTCTTCAGGGATGGTGTTGTCCACGTACTGAGTGCATTTGCTCCTGTTTTGAGCATTGACATATCTAAAAAGAATAGTGTAAGTTATCTTTTTTCCACATGACACTGGGAGAGAAATGATAGAAGGTTCAAATAACCTCTTTAGTCCATGCTGTTTTCTTTTCAGTTGACATATAATAATTATACATGTTTCTGGGATACACAGTGATATTTTAATATATGTAATGATCAAATTAGGTTAATTAGCATGTCTGTCACCTCAAACATCTATTATTTCTTTGTACTGGGAACGTTCAAAATCTTCTCTTCTAGCCTTTTGAAAATACACAATAAATTGTTAACTATGTTCACTCTACAGTACTATAGAACAATAGAACATATTTCTCCTATTTAGCTGTAATTTTGTATCTTTTATCCAACCTCTCTCTTTATCCCTCTCCTCTCTAATCTTCCCAGCCTCAGAAAAACACAATTCTACTCTCTACTTCTATGAATTCAATTTATTTCAGCTCCCACATTTGAGTGAGAACATGTGATGTTTATCTTTCTGTGCCTTTTTTTACTTAACATAATGTCCTCCAGGATCATATATGTTTCTGTGAATAATAGTGAGGCAGGAGATCAGCTGGACTTACTTTGTAGTCACAACTTTGCTAACCAAAATAGGATCTTGTCCTGACAAAGTGAAGATACCACAGGAACCAGCAGATGGCGATGAAAGCAATCCTCAACTGCCCTCACTGCTAATTAGCATAAGATACTCCACCAGCACCATGGCGGTTTACAAATGCCATGGCACAAACCCAGAAGTTACCACCTTTTTTCATGGCAATAACCTAGAAGTTACTTCCCCTTTTCTAGAAAGTTCTAAACAACCAACCCACAATTTGCATTGATCATCCCTCAGTTTACATGTACTTGAAAGTGGGTTTACATGAGTATAAATAAGTTTGCCAGCAGCCCATATATTGTTGACTCTGGGCACACTGCCCATGAGTTACCCCTGCTCCACATGGAGCAGCCCTGGTTCAATTAAAGATTTCCGTTCAATAACACTGGCTTGCCCTTGAATTCTACCCTGAGAGAAACTAAGAACCTACACAAGATAAGCCCCAGTTTGGGGACTCACATGTCCTGCACCATTTGGTGACCATGAGGGGACAAAGAAAGCAAGTGACGGACAGTGACTGATACCATTGTGAGACACAGCAGAGATGGCAGTGATTGGGTGGTAAGATGGCAAGTCAGTGCTGATCAGCAGAGAGGGGGTGAGACTGCAGTGATTGGTCACCAGTGGAGATATGGTGAGGTGGCAGTTGATGGGATGGCAAAACAGTGAGAGGCAGCAATTGGTAAGAAACAGTGAGATGGTGATCAATGCTATAGAGTTGTAACACTAGCCAAAGGCTCCTTTAAGAGTCATCATCTTTCCTGGCAGGCCATGGAGCTGAGCAGATGAGTGAGTGGCCCTAATGCTACTGCCTCATATGGGACCCACTGCTCCATCCATTATGATGAAGCTATAAAAGCAACAATAATACCTCAAATCTCTATGAGTCAACTTTTAATATGACCTTTAGAGTTTAGAACAAAAGGGACAGGGCAAAAGAGGTGAGAAAAAAAGAACAAAAATAACCAAAAAACACAACTAGTAACAGTTGCTTTAAGCCCCTGGCACCTGAGAATTACCCATCCCAAGAAAGTGTTGTGTGATTGGCATCTAGGATAAACAGATAAGAGCCCTCGATTTTCTGGCCCCTGGGTCAGAATCAGTGTGCTTACTATAAGAAAAGGTGCTACTGACAATAATAATGTCCTAACCATCTCTCTGGTGAGAAAGAAAAAAAATAAATAAACTCCCCGTCAATATTAAGGCCAACCTTCTTCCACTAGCCCCAACATGCTGACTTGCTCAAGTAAATTTACTGCAGGTCTTGGGATCTTGACCCAATATTTGTGTAATGTGTGTTTTGTCTAGCATGCTATCAAACTGGCTTATAAATAAAAGGACCCTCATAATTAAACAAATAGGATTAATCTGAACTTGTTAGGCTGAAGAAAATGTGTTTTCTAAAATTTAAGATTTTTACCTAGGTAAATCACTAATGTTTGTAGGCTTTAGAATGGTTAAAATGGCTTTAAATGGCAATTAACTTTTTATTACTTTTTATTAAAAGTAAAAAACTTAAACACATTTGAATAGAATGGATAATTAAATAGTGAACTTGTTGTGTCATTTAAAATCTTAGAATTACAAAATAGTTCTCATGTATAGAATGCCAGTTTCTCATAGGCAGTTCAGAATTTCTTGCTTCCTAGGCTTATTCAAAATGTGCCAAAGAAATATATTTGTTTATTGGTGGGAAATAATTTTTGTCTAATTCAGAAGTTATTAAAAGGGAGGATCGAATTATGAGGGAAGCAGTGAGAAGAAAATAGAGATGTAAAGAATGTTATAGATAAAAAATGTATTTTTTTATGCTTTAAGTTCTGGGATACATGTGCAGAATGTGTGGGTTTGTTACACAGGTATACATGTGCCACAGTAGTTTCCTGCATGCATCAACCCATCATCTACATTAGGTATTTCTCCTAATGCTATCCCTCCCCTAATCCCGCATCCCATGACAGGCCCTGGTGTGTGATGTTCCACTCCCTGCATTCATGTGTTCTCATCGTTCAACTCCCACTTATGATTGAGAACATTAAGTGCTTGGTTTTCTGTTCCTGTGTTAGTTTGCTGAGAATGATGGTTTCCAGCTTCATCCATGTCTCTGCAAAGGACATGAACTCATCCTTTTTTATGACTGCATAGTATTCCATGGTGTATATGTGCCACATTAAATTTATTTTTTTGGTCTGGCATGGTGGCTCACGCCTGTAATCCCAGCACTTTGGGAGGCTGAGGCAGGTGGATCACGAGGTCAGGAGATCGAGATCATCCTGGCTAACACGGTGAAACCCCGTCTTTACTAAGAATACAAAAAATTAGCTGGGCATGGTGGCGGGCGCCTGTAGTCCCAGCTACTTGGGAGGCTGAGGCAGGAGAATGGCATGAACCCAGGAGGCGGAGCTTGCAGTGAGCGAAAATCATGCCGCTGCACTCCAGCCTGGGCAACAGAGCAAGACTCTGCCTCAAAAAAAAAATTTATTTTTTTGCAAGGAAATATCTAAGAAAGAGTAATTTTGTACAAAAAGAATATTGTGTAGTAAATTCTTGTCCTAGGGTAAAATAACTGGTTATTTAAGAAAGAAATAGTATTGGACAAGTCAGAAAGTCAAAGCATGTTGTAGATGGTCAGTGTAAGTGATGGCAGGGTTTATGAAGGGGGATTTATGAAAGAAATTTTGCATGTGATTAAGCTAGCTATAATTAAAAGAAAATTTTTATAATAGAATTTATTAAAAAATGGTCTTCATGTTAAAACCAAACTTTCTTAAAGGATTGGTTCACCAAATTACAGGAAATATTGCTTTTAATGCTATAATCATCGTCTCTTAGTACATCTCATATTCGTGTCTCAAAGATTCAACTGTTATTGTGTCTTGCTTTCAGCTCTTTCTCCCTTTAGAAAGGCCTGGGGTAGGGACAAGGCATGGTGGCTCATGCCTGTAATCCTAACACTTTGGGAGGCCAAGGCGGGCAGATCATGAGGTCAAGAGATTGAGACCATACTGGCCAACATGGTAAAGCCTCATCTCTACTAAAAATACAAAAATTATTTTTGTGATGGCATGTGCCTGTAGTCCCAGCTACTCAGGAGGCTGAAGCAGGAGAATTGCTTGAACCCAGAAGGTGGAGGTTGTGGTGAGTCAAGATTGTGCCACCACACTCCAGCCTGGCAACAGAGTGAGACTCTATCTCCAGAAAAGAAAGGCCTGGGGTAATGGCTCTCTCCTTTAGCTTCTTTGTCAGCTTTTATAACTTGTTCTCCTCCAGTTCTGAGTGTTATTTTGGCCTGATGATAAAATATTTAATCTTAGTGGTCTATAAAAGCGATCTTTCTCCAAGTATAATTTGATTCTATACTCTTGTGTTTTTTTTTTAAGTGTAACTTTATTTTTGGGTTTTGGTTTTGGATTCTTATATTGCTTAAAGGGATTTTAAGTGTTAATCAGTGCCTGCTCACCTCCATTCCTGCCTGGTCTAGAATGTTTAATTGGCTATAAATCTTTGACTCTGTGTCCCTTGGCCAAAGGAAGTCCCAAAGAAACCTGAAAAACTAACTTAAGCCATTACAGGAGACTTCACTATGCCCCCCTTGATATTTAGGCCAGGTTCATGATGCCTTTCAAAAGTAATGAAAACAAACTATTCCCCTTTTCCACAAAGGAGAAAAAATAGCTCCTTGTTCAACCAAAAAATTTAGTCATACTAATAATTATAAAAAATGTAAAAATAAAAGATGCTCTGGTAATAAATTACAACCAAAATAAAAGTGCCTTTCATTATCAGATATTAGTAAGTACACCCATTGCAATTAAACTTCAGAAAGTCACTACTTGAGTACACTTGTCTATGATTAAACCTGTTTCTTATGAGTCCCTGCAGGCAGAAAAGGTGAACTCCATAACCTATACTTATAAACCCTAGAAAACTTAAGGCTGTTTTTTTTCAAACATATAAATAAATAATGTGGACACAGGAGCATTAATTTTTTTCTTGTTTTGAATTTTAATTTTCTTCTTCAGCCTCCTACTAAAGTTTGTATCTTCTAGATTTCACATAAAGATGATGCTGGCACAAGGATTTCAATCCACCCCATTTTCTGATGCAGAAAATTAAGACATCCTTCCACTGAGCTCCTTAGATCAGGTATCCAGAGAAAGTTTACTCCTCCAATGCTAGTCCGGGACTGCACTCATAAAATCAGCAAGAAGCAGTTATAGAAGGTAGACGTCTGCCCTGCTGCAGCCCCATTAATATTAAAGAGGAGTATTTAACCTCTGAGGTAGGGAATAACATAGGAGACAAGCAGAACTTATTTTCTGGTCACAACCCTGCTGACCAAAACAGGATCTGGGCCAGATAGGATAAAGTAAAGAAACTAGCAGCAAGCAGCAAATGGAAATGAAAGTGATCCCTAGCTGTCCTCACTGCTCATCAGCATTAAGACATTCCTACCGGTGCTATGACAGTTTACAAATGCCATGGCAATAAACGGGAAGTTATCACCCCTTTCCAAGGCAATGACCTGGAAGTTATGGCCTGTTTTCCAGAAAAATCTAAATAATCCACCCCTTAATTTGCATGTCATTTAAGCTGGGTTTATGTGAGTATAAATACAGTTACCAAGAACCCATACCTTGCTGACTTCAGACACACTGCCTCTTAGCCCTGCTCCACATGGAACAGCTTCGGTTCAATAAAAGATTGCTTTTGAACAACCCCCAACTTGCCCTTGAATTTTTTCCTGAGAGAATCTTAGAACCCTTACAGGCTAAGCCCCAATCTGGGGGGTTGCATGTCCTGCATCAACAGGATTTCATTTTTTAAAGAGTGAATAGTGTTCCATTGTGTATATATACCACATTTTTTGTTATCTCTTCATTTGTTGTTGGACACTTAGGTTGATTCTATATCTTGGCTACTGATATTTCTTTTCCAAAGGAAAGAAAATCAATATATTTAAGAGATACGTGAACCTGTAAGTTTATTGCAGCACTATGCATAATTGTCAATGTTTTTAAAATCAGTGCTCAGGATTCTAGAGGCAATCCTGGATTCTTACATGTTCTGGTAGGAATAACCCAGTCAACCAAATAACTGTCTGCAAAGGTAAAAAAGGATCATATGTAAAAGAGAGGGAGAGACATAGTGAAAGAGTTCAGAGAAGAAAATGAGTCCTTCAGGTGAGCTGAATAGGAGAACTCAAGAGGAGGTGACATTTAAACCTAGAATGAAAAGAAGCCTCTTTAGCAGAGCTGTACTGTGTAATACTAGTGACAAAGAAGCTTTTTCATTACTGCAAATGTTTGTACACAGCTGAATTTCTAAACACTAGCAATAAATGACTTAAAACCAAAAATTTTGAAATAATTACACCTATAATATCTCTGAAACATAAAACTTTTAGGTATATACAGGATCTGTGTGCTGAAAACTTACACAATTCTGTAAACAAAATCAAAGAAGTTCTAAATAAATCAAGAGTATATGGATTCATGGATTGGAAGACTCAACATAGTAAAGATTTTAATTCTTCCCAAATTGATCTATACCTTTAATGCAACTCCATGAAAATTCCAGCACAGGGAACAATGAGAACACATGGACACAGGAAGGGGAACATCACACACCGGGGACTGTTGTGGGGTGGGGGGAGCGGGGAGGGATAGCACTGGGAGATATACCTTATGCTAAATGACGAGTTGATGGGTGCAGCACACCAACATGGCACACGTATACATACGTAACAAACCTGCACGTTGTGCACATGTACCCTAAAACTTAAAGTATAATAATAATTTAAAAAACTTAAAAAAATTTAAAAAAAAGAAAATCTTTTTTTTTTTTTTTTTTTTTTTTGAGACGGAGTCTCGCTCTGTCGCCCAGGCTGGAGTGCAGTGGCGGGATCTCGGCTCACTGCAAGCTCCGCCTCCCGGGTTCACGCCATTCTCCTGCCTCAGCCTCCCAAGTAGCTGGGACTACAGGCGCCCGCCACTACGCCCGGCTAATTTTTTGTATTTTTAGTAGAGACGGGGTTTCACCGTTTTAGCCGGGATAGTCTCGATCTCCTGACCTCGTGATCCGCCCGCCTCGGCCTCCCAAAGTGCTGGGATAAGAAAATCTTTTATCACTGAGACACGGGTAGGCACAGTATGTCTATAGACGCATGACCAGATCATGCTCAAGCTCATTCGTCATTAGCAGTATTTGGGAATACTACTATAAAGTGTGTTCTTCATTTTATAAAATACAATCTTGAATCATACACATCCTTAACAAATTTTAATAATTTATCACAACCTCTGGATGCAAATTAACATATAGCTGTATGCACAGAAATATAATTTAAGTAATGATTGGAAAAGCTGAATGAAAACATGACAGCCCCAAATCCCATTTAATTCATTTAATCAAAGAAACTATTACATGTGATCCATTGATAAAAACTGATAGGGTTAGATATTTTCAAAACACCATAATCTGGCCAGTGGTTTAGGTAGTAATGAGAAAACCTAATTTGTGGTTTCCAATTTAACAAATGATATAGCAATATTGAGAGAACTATTAGCATATACTGCAGATAAAATTGTGGACTGAGCAGTTATATAACTATCTAGATGCATTTTATTTACTAAGAGCAGTGGGCCTTGTTAACTTCAGTTCTAAGATCGATTTAAGTATATATTATCAATAAGCTGAAATAGAGTTGGAATAATTATCTGACCTATAGAATCTTACTCTTTACTCTTTGGATTTAGCAATCTTTCCTCCTCCTTCTCCTGTCCACAAAATAAAGAGTCTATGAGGTAGACTTTAATATTAAGATCTCTTTTTAGAGAAATTTTCTAAAAAGTTTCTTGACATTAGAAGATTTAGTTTCTGCATCCCAGATCTACTTATTTGTCCAGAACACTAGGTTGAGGCTCTTTTCATATGTCTTAATTCTATTGATTTCCCTAACCCATACCATCTCTGCAATGAGACAGATTTGGGAGGGGTTTCCCAGCAAATAAACATGAGCTTTCTACAAGTATTACAAGTCAGGCATCAGAGCAACATCTGCATTCATCCTCAGCTAGTCAGTCACTGAATTTAATAAATTATCAGGCTTATGTGTAAAGTAGTGTCCATGCCTGATTTTCTCTGACTACCCAGCCAGTGCCTATTTTTATAAGTCAGATAAGAGAAGATAGAAATCTGCTCCTTCTACAAAACTGCAATATAGCAGATATTGATAATAAAGTATTTCTCATGAAATATAGGATTAATTCCACTTGAGAGAAAGTTGGAAGGACTGGATACAAATCTGAGTAATTCCTTTATTTCTTTTTGCTATGATTTATTGAGTGAATATTATGTGCTAGACCTGCTACATGCTGGAGACACAAAAGTGAGCACATCTCATTGAGGACCTGGTCTTCTTGGAACTTACAGACTAATAGGTGGATATACTTTACTATATTCTCACCTAGATAAATGTAGAGTTACAATTTTTATAAATGTTTAAAAGAAGTAAATGATGCTGTAAGTATATAATGAATTCTTTGTCCTCATAAAAGGTTTCCATGAAGCCTTTCTATTGCATCACCCGCAAATTCAAAACAGCTCTATGAATGTTTTTGAGGAGGCACTGTATAAATTACAACTGTCTAATCATGTGCACATAGCAGTACATATAAAATAGTATATATACTAGATACATTATTTAGTATATATTTAGTACATATGAGAATTTTATAATACATTTATTTAGATATTTATATTTCACACATAAGCAACTTCAAAATTTTTTAGAAGAATTTCAACCACTTATTTATTTGATCTTAAACAGCTAAGAGTTATGCGCCTGCATATATTGCTTTCAAAGAGTTTTGAATTTAAATGTGTTGCCATGAAATCATATATACAGTGATATATGAAAAATCATTATAACTGAACACATTATAAACAAATCTAGTGTAATATACATGTCTTAGTCTGTTCTCACACTGTCATGAAGAAATAGCCAAGACTGGGTAATTTATAAAGGAAAAAGATTTAATCGACTCACAATTTCTGATAGCTGGGGAGCCCTCAGGAAACTTACAATCATGGTGGAAGTCACCTCTTCACAAGGTGGCAGGAGAGAAAATGAATGCCAGCAGGGAAAATGCCAGATGTTTATAAAACCATCAGATCTTGGGAGAACTCACAAGTTCATGAGAACAGCATGGGGGAAACTGGTCTCATGATTTAATTACCTAAACCTGATCCTACCTTTGACACGTAGGAATTATGGAGATTACAATTCCAGATGAGATTTTGGGTGGGGACACAGCAAAACCATATCAATACACAACCCCCACATGGAGATGTAGTGTATCCTCCTTGCTAGGGAGGGCATGGGCTGCAGAGTCATATAAATCAATGCTGTATCCTTGGCTCTGCCACCAGTTATGTGACCCTGGGTGAGTTATTTCCCCAATCCAAGACTCAGCGATTTGTTGAATTTGTAAATTTAAAAACAATTAGACTATTTTTAGGCTTATAAATACTATATGAGTTTCACCCATAACAGTGTTTTCTTCTAACAGAGTCTTTTTGAAAAGTTAGCAAACAAGATTATTGTACACTATTGAGTTGGTTCTATTATCGAGGTTACTTTTCTCCCAGTAGAAAACCCACATACATAATCAAATCACATCTCTGGTTTATCAGACAGCCTATCAACTGAAAAAAAAAGTCTTTGTTAACTCTTAAATTAAAAAAGAAGAAATGAGCCTACTTTCCTCCAAGCCAAATTCTAGCTGAACATTTTTCTTTACAACATGGTTTATTGATTGAATATACATTGCAGCTTGTTTGGTACTTCTTTCTGTAACCAGCACAGACAGTGTTCTCCATGACATGTTAATACAGCAGATGCATAGGATTTTTATCTGATGCCCAAAGGAACGAAAGTCTGGAGGTCACCACATGCACTTTTGTTCCTAACATTTGTTTTGGTTTTGTAACTTTGTTTTAAATCCTTTCCTTATAAATGGGTATCAGGAAGTCTGTATTCTAACTCCGGCCCTGCTTTTGTTGTTGTTGTGTGTTGTTGTGTGTTGTTGTTTGCCCCTAGGCAGTTGATTCCAATTTTCATCAGTACCATACGCAGGTTGGATTATTTTGGGATGGTAGATTGATATTATTTCTATGGCATTGTAAAGGAAGCATAAGATAGAATAATAGAAAATAACTGTGAAGCAAGGTACCTGAAAATGGATAAGTTATGTCTTCCATGAGAACAAGAAAGGGACACAAGAGGAGGTACATTGTGCATTTTTTACATCCTCCACTAGCTGCTTTTAAGGGTCCTCGCGGCATAGACATTTTATGATGAAGCTAATCTGTGAAGACAATTAGCACTTTGTTACATCTCCAAGGGCTTTTGGTGGAAATAATATACATTTTGAATACTATTTGTAACTTCTTGTATTCTAAGTGCATAAAAGTGAACTCTTTGAATCATGATTTTTCTTCTCTTGCTTCTGTCTCTCCCTAAATTCATTTCACTTATTTCCAGAAAAACAAACAAGATAAAGAACGCTTGCACATCTATGCTAAGAACATCAAGCTATTTAAGACATAAACAAGTGTGAAAAAAGATGAATTAAAAATTTCTAGTCTTGAGATTAATAAAAATATTAATAATCTACACATACACAAAAAATATATTAGCACTTCTCTCTCTTTTACAGCTACTAGACATTGCTGATAACAACTCCATGACGTGGATATTATCCTTATTTTGCTGGTACATAAACTGTATACAGGAGGGTTAAAATGACTTCTTATGGTCATGTAACTAGTAAGAGGTAAAGTTGACACTAGCCTCCATTTTAACTATCAGCTCAGGATTTCATAGCTTCTAGTTCACTTACTTTCAAATTAAGATGCCACTCTCTGATATTTAAAAATATCTCTATGTGAAACTTTTGAATATATCTCCTCGGACAGCTTCCACTGGCGTCATCAAAGTCTACATAAAATTTTTAAAAATAAATACATAAATAAGTGACATGCCAACGTCTTTGAAAACCCTAATATTCCGTTTTATAAAAGCCATGCCATATAGGAGGATTGCAGGCCTGATAGTCATCCTGAAAATTTTCCAAGGTTCCATGTATGTTAGTGAGACTAAATAATCCCACTTATGACAGGCTATTTTCTCTCTGAAAAATCCTATGCATATGTGCAGAAATGTACTTCAACTTTCTCTCTCTCTCTCTCTCTGTCTCTCTGTGTGTGTGTGTGTGTGTTTGTGTGTGTGTGTAAATTTACATAAGAATTTTGGAGCTTGAGGAATCTTTTTATGGAACCAGGACACCTTTTACCTTTAGATCCTTCATCTCCAACGATAGTCTCTTTGAAAATAACACTAGTCTAAACTGAATGTCTATCACAGGGCCTTCATGTAATGATGAAAACTAAGAGCATCAGAGTTGAGAAGGAAGAGCAAATATCAAAGATGCCAATTTGAGGTGCCTGATATATATTATGTGACAGTGCCTTTCTTTTTACCAACTCTAGACTTCCCAATAAGATGAGCCAAGAACTTCTCTTTCATGGATTGGCTGGTCGCTGCTGGCAATCGAAAGTATCCTTAAGAGCAGAGATGCAAAGATACAGAACTTCAGTTTTCTGGGCCTTTAAGCAACCTTCAGCCTACCAGTGTGATATTTGTGTGTACAAACAGCAGCATCCCAATGAGATTCTGAATGGGAATCTTCAATTACTGGATGGCAAAATACAATGAGAAGTTCTTAACAATGTGAATTATGGGAGATAGAGGATTATTACTCAGATTTATTACTCCAACCTTTACATTTCATAGTCACTTTGAAATGACTCTTCTGGATCCTCCAGAGATCAATAGTGTATCAACAGTATGTGTATTATCATCGTCATATTTTCAATAATTAGTACACTTGAATGTTTCATATGTGCCAGGTACTTTGTTCTAATGATGAATAGACACAAGATGTGTTCGGGAAATATATACACTCTGCTGAGAAAGACAAGGATGTCAACAGAATATGACAATAATCAGTGATATACCCTCTGGTAGAAGAAATATAAACAGGGATTGTGGGAGCACAAAGGACAAAAACATTTCTATGAGTATTAGACTTTTTTTAGCCAATTAAAGTTTAGGAGAGTGCAGAAACTGTTCTAAAAGAGAACAGCCAGTACAAAGACATGGAAGCATGAAGGAACATGAACATTTTCAAATAAACAAGTACATTCGTATATTCAATGTAGATTTACAGGGAATTAGGATTGGGAGGGGAGACTAGAGAGGTAGAGAAGTACATGAGAAGGAAGGAAGGTCCACAGTAAATACAAATAAAGCAACCAAAGTGTTTAAAAGAACAGCTTTAGCCCTTGGTACAATGTGGAGAATGGATTGGATGGTAGTGAGCCTGGTATTGGTTAGGTGTTTTAGGAATCCTGATAAAAGATGGTAAGGACTACAACCAAGTAATAGCAATGAGTCTTAGAGCACTCTTTATAATAACTTGTGATGACATCACATTTGCTATGTGCCTGCAAAAAGTTATTACCATTTCTGAATTTCAGTTTGCGTATACAACCCACAAGATCACCTGGGCCAGATAAATCCCAAAGATTCTTCCTTTTCTAAAATGTGAGACTCTATGACCCATGTATCAGGTATGTGAAGAATTCAAAGCATTCATAGGTTGGCTTTATCCTAAAAACTCAATTGAGTTCATCAATTCAGCTCCAATAATGCAAGTGACAGTTCTGCCTATCTACATTGAGGAACCTAAGTTTATTATGTCTCCATTAATTTCTATAAAGGTGCTAAATTCACAATTTACTTGAATATAAATTACCTTTTTTAGTACAGCTGTGATTTTCTACTCTTACTCCAAAGCCTTCTTCTCTGCACAAAGATCTATCTCTGTGTGTCTGTCTATCAATATTTGACATAATTAAAGTCCTTATTTTTATGGATAAAATGGTTGGTACCCTGCTAAGATCCCATGAAATTCATTTTAGCACATCTTTGGAACCATCATTCAGCTTTTCTGTGCTTTGCCCTTAACGTCTTAGACTTGCAAATTGCTGAGGGTGGCTCTTTGGGCACTGGAGTTTCCATACCCATGGGAAGACCCAGAAACACTTGAGAACTTACCGTCCCCCTTTCCCCAATTCCAGAGTGGCCCACACCCCATGACTGGTGGGGGAGTACAACAGCCCACTTCCTTTCTCTCAGAATGTGGTAAATGCAGGTGTAATTTATTCTTCAAAGCTCTACTGGGGATGATGGTGCATCTGGGACTTCACCTGAAATCACTTCTTTGTTGGCTTCTCTGCCTCCTAGACTGGCTCTCCTCACTCCCTTGCTATTAACAGTTCTTCCTAGGATCATTTTCTTAACACATTTCAGTTATACCTGAATCGTTCATCCAGGCTCTGCTTCTGATAGATGCCAATTTAAGACACCTGAAATGTTCAACATTAGTCTTTTGTGTGGCTTTTGTTAGGCAGTTGACGCTGGAGGTATGATTACAGTATTTGGAAGCATAAGGGACTAATTCTTAAATACTATTATCCTGTGCCTTAGAAATTGATGCTAAACAAGAAAGAGATTGTGAGTAGAAAATGATTCTGTTCAGAAAGACTCCACTAATCACAGAAAACTAGCCAAGTGGAAATCAGAGAAAAGTGTCAGAGGTCACTTAGATCTCTGCAGAGAACATGAACACTGGTGGAAATAAACATTCTAGACACTGTCTTATTTACACAGGCCTCAGTCCTCTCTGGATGGAACATCACTCAAGATGAGCTGCCTTTGTTCACATTCTGTGATTCCCAAATCGATGACTGAGAAATGTGGAGAAAGGAAGTGATAGTCCAGGGAAAAGTAATTCAGTGACCAGTTCTATCTGGTTCTAAGATAGTCTTTGTTCCAATTTTCCAGCCTTGACACTATTCTTGAAAAATCTCTTACTTCTTGCTAAACCTTTCCTTGGTGGCATCATGTAAGATACCTTTCCCTACTTCTGGGTCCCAGAACCAGCCTTTAGCACCAGAACTTTCCATACCTATGTCTGGGAGAGTCCTATGAGGATGCTGTCAACCACCAGAATGTACTACTAAACTATTACATCAAGCTTCATTTACATGTTCTCTTGGAAAAGAGACTACTCAGCACATCTCTGTGTCCTAATACATCTCCATATATAAAACACAGAAAAACAAAACATGACATGACTTGTAGTCTTGCTGCTAAACAGAATTTTCTGCACCAAGCTGTGGCTTGCCATTTTGTAGGTTTAGGCAAATCTATTCCACAAAAGAGAAAAACCTAGATGTGTTAATTAGTGTGTATTAATCATCCCACAATGTAAACATGTATTTAAATATTACATTATACCCTGTAAATATGTACAATAATTGTCAATTAAAAATAAGAATTCAAAAAGAATATCTAAAAAAAGGAAAAATCTGGAGTCCTTGCTATTCAGGCTATTTTATTAAGCAAATGGTTTATGATAGAAGTCTCTAGTGATGCCCTAATCACAAGTTAGCAGCTGAAGTAAATTGTAAATGCATGGTCAGCTTTATTTTTTTTTAAGATTGAGCAAATTTATTCTGTCATTTTATATAAATTAACTCATATCTCTACCAACACTCCAAACAGGGCACATGCCCTCTGTCTTGGATGCATTCAATTTGAAGATGCATTTTTGGTCAAATACATACATTGGCCAGTTTGATATTATAAAATTTGGACTCTGTCTCACAATTGCAACCCACAAGAACTCATTAAGCATATAGTTATTATAATCCTAAAAGAAAAGTTACTCACTTTTGCAAATTCCTAAAGTTGTTCATATATATTATCTGAATATTTTGAGCCAATGCAGATGTAGCTATTCTTTAGAAAGGCTCTTAAGATCGAAGAGCCACTGTTTCTAGGCTCCAAGGGTGGGCCTGTTACAGTTTACATTAATTATTTAAGCATGACTTTTCTAAAATGCCTGTTCTCACATCAAGATGTCTTAACAATATAAATAAATTAGCTTAAGGCTGGACTAGGGCATTAATCTTTATGCAGTGTGAATTGGGGCAAGGAACTATGTCCACATAGGATAGATAAGACCTATTAAGTAGCAGACTTTCAAAAAAGGCGAGATACTTATTAGATGTCATATACACATTTTTCAGTAATATATGAGTTTACAAATAATGATGATATAGATTTCAGAATGCTTTGCTCCTTATATAATACGTATGGTTAGAAACACGGAATATGGAAAGAGTATAAGCATGAGAAAAAAATCAGTTTGTAATCATTTAATGCACCACACTGGTCTATCCTAAAGTAATAGGCAGTTGAAAAGAGTGCAGGATATTCCATTTCTCTCACTGCTCACTTATGAAAAAATATTTGGTTGCTTCCATTTTTCAACATTATGCTAATGAAATGCAAATAGAAATGGTAGAAAGGAAAACTGGATGGCAAGATGAGACTTTCTGCTGGGTTCAACATTTTAGAAAAAAAGCCCACGGCACAAATCTCATTTTCTGTGTGAAGCAAGAAGGTTAAAATTTGTATTTAATCATGGATTGGACTTGCTACAGCTCTGAAAAGCCATCATAAAGCATTGCTAGCGTGGGCACATTTGTTGACCGGATAGTAGCATAGGATTCAATTTTCCACCCTTTGCAGTTCAACACAGATAAAAAAGGAGTGAAATGTATAAATTCTCTTCCCCAAAATGATATTTCTAGTTGATGATATTCAGCTGTATCAGAGTCTGCAAAATTTCTTGGCTTTCCAAAGGCAATGACTAAAAAAAATCGGAAAGTTGACAAGTTGGCAACCTTAAAATAAGTAGAGATAAATTTTTAAAAGAGAAATTAATAAAAATAAATACAGAAAGAATGTATATGTCCAGGGTGTAAACTGTCCTGCTTTTCAGCTGCCCAGGTCCTTGATTCAGCAAGGACCTGGCCAATGAAAGCTCAGTCCTTGTTGGCCCTGAGAAGTCCTGGTTTAGCAGAACATTTTCTCTGAAATAGCACAAAACACCAATGATGCAAAGTGATTCTAAGTTTTTAGGAAAATCCAAGTATTTGGATTTTTCCAGCACCACATGTCACAATCAGGATCAAATGTAGGACCCTGACTGTGATGAGATCGGGAAAAGTGAAAAAGATCCCAGAGAATTGGCAGCAATAGCAGACAGGCATGAAGGGCAAGCAGTGGGGAAGACGGTTAGTGAGGTCACAAAAGGAGGGCTTAACCAGCTAACTGGCAGAAACACTGAGCCAGTTGGAATTAGCATAACTTGGCTGATGGAGAGATCCCAGATGTTAAGCCACAATGGAATCGAATTGTAGCTATCCTCCTTTATGGACTGACTAACTGTACATTTACAATCTCCCAGCATTGTAATTTCATCCATTTTAAAGCAGTTTCACAAATTTTTAAATGTGAGAATTAAAAGAAAAAAATGTTTACCATATATCTGGCTTGATTCTTATCACATAGGATGTCATAAATAAATATTTTCCTCCCATTTTACTAGAAAAGACAGCATAAATTTTACTTAAAAAGTTTATCATGGATTTGCATTTCCTCTGAAATATCAATTTGAAAATGCATTTGAAAACTTTTGAATTACAAAGTGTAATGTCTGTTCATTTACTGAGACTGTTGGGAATATTCAAACCATCTCTTGAATTTATCCACCAGCAAAAAGCCACAACTTTGGAGAATAATCAAATCAAGATAAAATATGCTAAAGAATAGTCCTCAATTCAATTCCAGAAGTCAAATATAGGAGATTAAAGATGGAGACAGAGGGTGTTCCTTAGATTGCCAAGATCTTAGCCGAGGGCCTGTGGCATGGCTAGTGTATGTGCATGATTTGAGAGTGTGTCAAACTTATCATAAAGCTATAAGTCCAGCATCTATGAAACAGGAAGCAAAGACGACTATATCATGACTGCTGACGGAAACCCCAAACCCATTATTCAATCACTTGTTTCTAATCTATTTTTATTTTTACCTGTTGTCTAGTTGAGCTCCTGATACTATTGCCAGGCCTGCAACTTCATGGCAATCGAAAAGAAAACAAAAAAACAAACAGTATTTAAACTTGGCTTTGTTTGACATAAGCACAGATACTGAGTTCTTGAATCTGGAAATAGCCATGATTTCCTTTTACTAGGAATTTTAATTTGGAAGACATAGAAATGAAAATGAAACTACAAAACCCCTGTTTGTGTGTTTCTTTGGTAGCTGTTTAGTGGGGCATTTTATCTAGTCGGTGTGGAATAACCTCAAGCTCCAGGGACCCAAACCCAAGTCAGCTTTCAACATGAGAAAACTCATTTTGATTCCCCCATTTGACAGAGGTGACAAACCTGTGCTGACCTTGGTGACAATTACAAGCAGGAGATGGGCACAGGGTTTAGAAACAGCAGGCATCAGTGAGTCGGTTCTCAGAGGTAATGAGCCAAAGATGAGACTCTCTTTCAATTCCTTTGGGAAATTGCTAAAAATAGAACCTTTGCTGACTATAAGTATAAAACTAAAATAAGGATCTGGGAATATTGAGGCCATGAGATTCAGACATAAATTTAAGACCTGTAAAATGAAACAAATTTCCAAAGGTGAAAAGATTGATTCTTGAAGAAAATTAAACTTGATTGAAAGTGACAACAAAATCCATGTAGCCATGGAGTATCATAGCTAAAAGGTCCCTAAGGAAAATAATTCACCCCCTTGATTTTACGGAGGAGGAAAGAAGCCCCGGAGAGCTTATTTAACTTTCTCAAAAAACTGAAAAAGTTTGAGGCAGAGGCAGGTCTAGAACCCTGCAATTTGGAGTAATAGTTTACAGTTGTATCCCACTATCATAAATTGCTTCCTGTGTAGAAGCTACATGTTGTTATTTTCTTAGATATGATAGCGGTTATATAAAATATTTTAAAGTGATACAGATTATTTCAAATATTGGAAGCTGTATTCACCTTCACTAACATTCAGTCTTGTCCTTGACACATAGGAATCATGACATTCATGGTGTTCAGTGTATGTGTGTGTTGAGTGTGTGGGGTTCTAATAACTTTTTGGGGGGCCTCTATGGATGTAAAATGATTAAGTAAGTGAATTATCAGTTAGTATTCAATTTTAAATCTTGTTGACTAACCCACAAATTTTAACTGAATTAAATGGACTTTAACTCTAGGCATAAAAATACAAAAACACATTCTTGCTTTATGAGCAAAGAAGAAAAGACACAAATTGTAGTAATTTACCAGCTGACCATTCTCATCTTTGGCCCCAGAAAAGAATATTGCTTTCCCTTAGCATGAACATGGCCTTCAGGCATATGTTATGTGAAACTCCACACTGGCCACAGCTTCACTTTGCAGATCTCCATTTTTCCCATGCAAGGGAAATCCAGAGATATAGGGTTTGTCTTGGCATTGTCCTAGTGGAATGGAATGCCCAACATGCAGAGTTTTTATTATACAGTATGCTACTTGTGGCCAAGACATTTATTTGGCTATGTCAATATTTGTTTTAACCTTCTACCATAATAATAATAACAATAGTAACATTTTTGGCTGGTCACATGTTAAACATGAGCAAAGACTATACCTTCTCACTAGTTTTGTCTCGGTAATTAAGTTCTTAAGAAGATGAAAAAGGGAATGTTGTGGGATTTCTGATTCTTGGTTAGAGAAGGAGTTTACCTCTATTTGCCATTATTCATTTTTTTCTATTCTGTTTCTTGAAACAGATGTGATGGTTGGAGAGCTGGCAGTCATGTTGGATAATGAGGTTGAGATCCGTAGCCAGGTTCTTGAGGGATTCCTGGAACCACATCAGGCATAAACTGCCTATAGCTGGCCTAGGTTGAAGTGGAGAGTACTATCTTGTCAACTTAACCCATTGCTTTTTTTTTTTTTTTTGAGACGGAGTCTCGCTCTGTCGCCCAGGCTGGAGTGCAGTGGCGGGATCTCGGCTCACTGCAAGCTCCGCCTCCCGGGTTCACGCCATTCTCCTGCCTCAGCCTCCCAAGTAGTTGGGACTACAGGCGCCCGCCACTACGCCTGGCTAATTTTTTGTATTTTTAGTAGAGACGGGGTTTCACCGTTTTAGCCGGGATGGTCTCGATCTCCTGACCTCGTGATCCGCCCGCCTCGGCCTCCCAAAGTGCTGGGATTACAGGCGTGAGCCACCGCGCCCGGCCTAACCCATTGCTTTAAGTTATATATTGCATGGAGATAAAACTTCTAATACATCACCTTTCATCAGAGAAATGATGATTTCTTATTGGTACTTCTCTCTGGGGCGTCAAACGAAAGCTAATATCTGTCTAAAATCAATGAAAATAGAGGGTCTTATTATTGTTGATTCAATAACTTTGTTTAGGAATTTAGTCCTAATAAATTAGAACAGTGTTTTGGCTGTACCTTGTTGATCAATTAAAAAAAAAAGTTAGTTTATAGCTAGGTGCAGTGGCTCATGCTTGTAATCCTAGCACTTTGGGAGGCCAAGGCAGGCAGATCACATGAGGTCCAGAGACCAGGCTTGCCCACATGGTGAAACCCCATCTCTACTAAAAATAAAAAAATCAGCTGGGCGTGATGATGCATCTCTGTAATCCCAGCTTTTGGGGAGGCTGAGGCATGAGAATTACTTGAATCCCAGAGGCGGAGGTTGCAGTGAGCCAAGATGGCACCATTGCACTCCAGCCTGGGCAACAGAGCGAGACTCTGTCTCAAAAAAAAAAAAAAAAGAAAGAAAAGAAAAAGCTTTTATTCTTGTCACATTTTATAACGTTGTATACTGAACAATACACTCAGTTTTCAAAGGGAGGGGAAATATTTGCCTAAAAATATCACTGGTTAAAATATTAACTACCTTATAATTTCAACTAAAATGTTAGATAATCATCTATAGAACATAATATAAACAAAAATCTCTCTACATTCAACCCAATCAATATTATACCATCATCTATTGGCTTCTTTATTGAATAATTTATTGAGCACCCTGCTCTGTGCCAGGCACTGCACTCTGCATCTTGGATATTTTGCTCTACTTCAATGCTCTTGAAAACCTAGGAGATCAACTTAGTTTTGCCAACTTTTGATTAAGTTCACTTTTCAATGGACTTTAATTAAGGCTTCTCTTGATAATATTACCCTAATTTGCTTGCAGGAATTCTGCATGATCCAGGCTTTCTTTGCCATCCAATATGGCTTTCACATGACATTGAAAGAGAGCAAGAGAGAGAAAAAAAAATACAGGGAGAAAGAGTGAATGCTGGCAACTGTTTGTGTGTGGTTGTGTGGAGGGATGTGTCAGTGCATATGGTCAACCTTACACAGTACTCTTAGATTCTAGAAAGCAACATTTACAAGGGTGTTTGAGTGCTACAAGTGCTGACATCCACTGCCTTAGATTTGTCAGGCTGGTTACAGGGTTGCTTGGGCAGCTGGAGGGTTGCTCTTATTTTTCTGGCACTGTAACTGTACCTCCCGGCTGGGCTCAATATGGTCGGTGACTTTCTCAAGCCCCATAAGACTTTGTAAATTTGAATACTACAAGAAGATCATGAAATTTTAAGACCTCTGTGCTATCTCAGTGTCAGCTGTGCGTTCTTGTGACAGTCTTTGCATCCCCCGCAAATAAATGTATAATTTTAAGACAGTGCTAAGGTCTGGGCTGCCTAGTGTTTCTGTTACCTGGGTTAACACTGATGGATTGGGTAGGCTCTCAGCATGGTCAAGAATCATTCTTTTTGTTCACCAGCCACAGGTACCTGTCAAACCAACTTCATTAATTTGAAATAATAGTGTCTTAAGAGCTGACTGTGTCGAAGTAGTAAAACACCTGAATTATTAAATATCTTAAAATATTTAAGTATGGATTTTGTTTTGGGAAGGTATGTTGCTTTATTCCCTTCAAAAACACAGTAACTCCAGTGAATTGCTAATACTGTGTGGTGAAAATCAACTTTGATATTTAGATGAGGACTGCAAGACTGTTTTACTAAGAGATAAAACTAACTATGTATATTTATGTGTAGCCATAATGTGTTTCAACATTTAGTTTGCTTTCATGTAGTACGTGCCAGGTGGGGGCTTGTGAAAAGTGCCCTACTTAGATATAGAAATCAATTGCGTATAGTTCCAGGCCACAGGCAACAGGATGACAAAATTTAAATGAATAGCATTTGAAGTTAGATTTGGATTCAAAATTCGATTCCTGTATTTAAAACATTTTTGTTTTGGATGATGTGTTATTTCTCTGTGTCTTTATATGAGCATCAGATATTTGTGGAAAGAAGCATTAAAGTCAGTTCCAAGGTCAGGGTATTTGTGTAGCCTTTGTTAGTTCCCTTCCAGTTCATAAGAGAGAGGAAAATTTAATGACCTGGGAATTTGAAGGATGGCATGATCCCTTTTGGCAATCATAGACAGAAAAAGTTATAACACGACAAAGTATTGGGACTAGAGCTTGAAACAGGGATATTCTGCTTGGAGAAGTTAAAATATGAGTAATGTTTGGAAGGGTAAACTTTGGTTGACAAAAGGGAATCATTTGAGAAAAATATTGGAGACAGTAATGCATGATGCCTGTGTAGAATGTGTGCATTGTCAAATTTACTTGAAGCATAATTTAATTATCTGAAACTATTTTCCTCTGCAATTTCTCCATCTTGTTTAAAATCTTTGTTGCATCATTAAGCCTATGTGTTTCATGATATTATTAGACTGGGTATTTCAAATAGCCAGAGCCTGAATTATCACACTTTTTCAGTTAATGGAATCTACATGAACAATCAGTGAATACTGAGCACATGACAGCCTAAGAATAAACTTACCACCTTCACTGCCTTCAATAAGCGCTTGACATGCACAACTCCAGAGAAATAACACAATGTCTCTGTCACAATATCTTTTTTTAAAAAACTTGGTCTTCCTTTCTTTGATATAAATATGCAGAGAATTGTTTATAAGATGAGATAACCTGGCTCTCTTTGAAGTGTTTACAACAAAGATTCCCCAGGCTGTTAAAGAAAGATTATAGAAACTATCAAAGCCTTGTTAATGACCATCAATAAAACTATGGCTTAGTTCATCTCATGTTAATCTAAACAACATTTTGTGATCCAAGGTCAGCCTTTCATCTTGGTTAGGCAATCAAACCATGAATGAAAATTCATTTTAGCAGTTACTGAGTGGCATAGGTGTTGGTATCAGAAAGATCTTGATTTGAATCTTAGTTGTACCACTAACTAGTTTTACACATATAAATATGTTTTTATACATATATATGTTCTAATTTTTATATTTAAAATGGGATGATATCTTTCTCATATAGTAGTAACATTTTCAAGATATATTTTTTTAAAAAATCTGTCACAGGGCCTAATAGTAAGATTTTAGTAATTATTTTTATCTTAATCATGTACAGAACATGTAGTATGTGCATGTATACACTAGACCCAATCACTATCTTAATGGAAATTTATAGTGGAGGAAGGATTCATTTATTACCAATAAATTATGGTAGGGTAAAATTAATCTTTAATAAATTCATAAGTGTAGTTCTGGAAGAGTGCAGATGAAAGAATGATTAATTTGGGCTTGAGAAATTAGGGCAGGCATCCCAGCAGCATTGACATTTGAGTTTAGCCATGAAGGATGAATATTCTAATAATCTGAGAACGAAAGAAAGGGCATTTCAAATGAAGGAACTGCATGGAACTCAGGAACAGGAATAGCAGTCCTCATGAAAATTGGAATGGAGAAAAGAGATTAGTATTATGGTCTCTAAGAGACAATGACATTCCTTATATTTGCTTCCATCTGAGAATCTGCTACAGCTACGTTGCCATCTTTGCCTTCCTCCTTCTCCAACTTACACTTCCCTTACCTCTCTCTTTTTTTTTTCCATTTTGCATTTCATAAAGTCCTGCCACAGCTGTGTTTCCAGAAGACCTATGCTTAGCAAAGGAATCACCAGTACACATCACTAGCACCAAACATATTTTTTGGGAGGAAAAACATACAAATAGAGGAATAGTAGCTCAGTAGCATGCACGCCACCCCTCCAAACTTTAATTAAAGCACATCATAAAGCAGTCATAGATGTTTATACATTACAGGCAAAGTTCCAATGGAGAGTATCCCTGCACCCATGATTTTCTATATATTATAAACACAGGAGGTAGGGAATATTGATATGTTTATATGATGATGGAAGCTCACCGGTCGGGAAAACTGCCTTGCTAAAAAGAGGAAGAAGCTTCTGTACCTCATTGAATGCCTTCAGCTGGTTCCTCCATTTAGCTAACTCAGAAACTTTGAACTAACTGTCTTCTAAGCAACAGTATTCAGATTTGTCTTTTATGCAGCCAGCTTCCAGCTCTAGCCCCAACCATTGATTAAATCTCTGCTATCCAAGTGTAGACTTTCTTTCTTCCTTCCTTTCTTTCCTTTCTTTCTTTCTTTCTTTCTTTCTTTCCTTCTTTCTTTCTTTCTTTCTTTCTTTCTTTCTTTCTTTCTTTCTTTCTTTCTTTCTTTCTTTCTTTGTCTTTCTTCCCTTCTTTCTTTTTTTTGACAGAGTTTTACTCTTTTTGCCAAGTCTGGAGTGCAATGACATGATCTTGGCTCAATGCAACCTCTGCCTCCCAGGTTCAAGTGATTCTCCCGCCTCAGCCTCCTGAGTAGTTGAGATTAGAGGTGCCTGCCACCACGCCCAGCTAATTTTGTATTTTTAGTAGAGACGGGGTTTCACCATGTTGGCCAGGCTGGTCTTGAATTCCTGACCTCAGGTGATCTGCCCTCCTTGGCCTCCCAAAGGGCTGGGATTACAGGCATGAGCCACTGCGCCCATTTTCAATGAGAAGCCTTGATTGTCCTCACCTGGGTTATGTGAACACTCAGCACTCATGGTGTGGTTCAGGGCACTGCAATTAACTTGACTGGAAGAGAAAACCTTATATGACCAGAAATACGAACCAATGTATCTCTCAAGACTTTCCAGAACAATGGGGAAATGATATCCAGAAGGGTATGAAGGAAGAGGTAGCACTGCAAGTTTTAGAGGAATTATAACTCGGTAGCATAACTCAAGAGCATAAAGATATAGTCTGGGAACTAATAGTGAGGATTACCAAATGCCTCGCAAAATGGGGCAAATATTATTAATTATGCATGGTACTGTACTCCTGAAAACTCTTGAGTCTTTAGAGCCTTTCTCAAGCCAACACTACATGCAACCACCACAGATTGTTTCGAGTCGATTTCATTAGACAAAACGTATCTGGCATCCTAGAGTTCTACACTACAGTCATAGAGGAAGTGAATCTCTGTGGATAGTACAGATATAAAAAGTTCTTTAGCTTCTGTGAATCTCTGTGGATAGTACAGACATAAAAAGTTCTTTAACTTCCCCTCTCCTCGTTTCTACCTCCTTGGTGCTTATATTGGTTAAAGATTTTCTGTGATAAAAACGTTAATCTTGCTATGACAAATGGGGATCTACACTTGGTTTTTATTCCTATCACTAGATTCTCATCCTAATTTGTAACAGCAGGGTAAGTGATGAAGGCTGAAGGGGAATATGAAAGGTCTGGACTAAAAATAATTTAAAAATGAAGTTAAGGGGGGAATAAAAATTAAAAAAAAACTGTCTGAAGAACCTAGAATATGAATGTCTTATAAAATACCATACATATATAAAATGGCATAATGATACTGTAATTAAAAACATCTTAGAACATCATTTGGCTTCATTAACATGCTTTATAATCAGGTTTCTGAGCCATACTTGTTGGGTTTGACATAGGAGCTCATATGAGCAACATGGGCTCCCCATTTCTGGAATTACCCATTAGATAAGAGCAGTAAAACACAGGACAAAAAACATGTGTTGATCACATCTCCTTTATTTTCAAACCACAGATCATAAATAAAGATTTCACTTTCAGTAAACTAAATTGAGTACATGGAATCTCTAGATTTGTTAAGTCACTAAATTAATGGAGGGCTCACTAATTCAATATAGAATGTATATACACATTCACTATGTACTCATTTTCACTATTTACCTATATTTACATCAAATAGAGGGTTTCTTAAACTTATTTTAAGCACTTACTGAATAATTATAATCTTCATAAATTAATCATAATTATAAATTAATCATTAACTGATTAACCACAGCATTGGTCTTATTTGATGTATTTGACAAGAAAGAATTATTAATAAAGGTTTTATATTGCTTTGTCCATTGGGGATTTGTCTCTGTGGATTTTGATTGGCCACAAATTCAAATACCCAACATTTTCAGGCTGCTACCCAGATATGTGATTCTAGACTGCTTGGATTTGGTAGATTTGCATAAACTTTCATAGTCTCATTTAATAAACTTATGTAACACTTTATCTAAAAGTTCATTTTATAAACTTTTAAAAAATAAATAAATAGAAGTATTATGGGGAAAGAGCATGTTGTCCTAGATATTTAGATTCCATCTAGATTTATAATTGTACAAAAATAGGCACTTTATTTTTCTCTGTTTTTCCAAGGCATGGAGAAACCTAGGAGAAATAATCCATATATATTCAAATTGCTATTGTAGTTATTTTTGTATGCGAACAATAAAAGAGTTGAAATTGGACTGTAATATTGATTGTTGCTGAATCCATTTGGAAAGCACTAAGTGCACTTGCAATTTAAATAGCACCATTTTATAGTGTTGATTTAATCCTTCATATAAGTATGGTTTACTAGACTTCTAAGAAAGGGAGTATAAATGGATAACGACATATATGGAGTTTAACATTACATACTTCACACCCACAAATAAATTAGATCAAGGGAGCTTTGAAAAGCCCACTCAGAATTGCTCTCCAAGAATAGAATACAAAAGTAGTAATTGATAGCTCTTCGTGGGGACCCTTCCTGAGAATTCCCAATAAAGCATGATAATTACAAACAGGAGATCAAAAACTGGTATACTGTTTCTGATTATTAGAAATTGCTCAGTTTCTCATACAGTAGAGACAGATTATAGCATAAAAGCCAAAAGTGAAAGCCTGTTTTATTTTTGTTTATTTGTTTGTTTGCTCCCCACACTCTGATATACACTAAGCACCAACCACACTGCTTGGCACAAACTAAAAATATTTCATGAAAATCTTAATAGGCTGGTTTTCAAAAAGCAAAGAGCTATGGAAGGAGAAATAATACCTATTTATAGTGTTTTCTTTAAATTTTTGTTGATAAAATAGTCTTTTCAATTCTGCCTTCTAAGATGTTAACTACACATGTTTACGTTTTTTCTTTGCCAGGAATTAATAAGTCGTAGATTTTTAGATGTGTGGGACTGCATTACGGTTCTTCAGAGAAACAGAATAAGATACGTAGATAGAGATAGATAGATAGATAGATAGATAGATAGATAGATAGATAGATAGATAGATAGATATTATGAGATTTGCTCTAGTAATTATGGAGGCTGAGGAGTCCCACAATATGCCCTCTGCAAGCTGGAGAACAAGGTAAGCCTGTGGTGTAATTCAGTTTGAGTCAAATGGTCTGAAAACCGGGGCAGGTGATGGTGTACTCTCAGTCTAAAGCTGAAAGCCTGAGAAACTGGAGGACCACATGTGTACATTCCAGAGTCCAAAGGCCAAAGAAACTGGAGTTCTAATGCCCAAAGGCAGGAGCTCCAGAAAAGAGCAGATTCACCTTTCCTCTGCCCTTTGGTTGTATTTGGGCCCTCAACAGATTAGATGATTCCTCCTCACATTGGGTAATGATGGATCTTCCTTACTCAGCCTACTGAGTAATGCCTTACCAGCTATATGGGTATCCCTTAACCCAATGAAGTTGACACATAAAATAAACGTTAAGCTCTTCAGTAATCCTGTGGCTCAGGAATTGGTCAAAATAAGTCAAAAATGTCATTAATAATACAAAGATAAATGCTTAACTACTGCTTCATAAACTCTGTAACTTAGGAAGTTTCAAAAATAAACAAAAGGCTTACAATCTAAACAAATTACTAAATGAATAAAAGAAGTAATACTCAATAAAGCAAAACTATCAAGTTATAGTAAATATATCTCATGATTATACCACTCTTTATTGAAACAATTGCATTATGTGAAGTTTAAACACAACATGAGCACATGTACATGAATGCATGCCCCACTTTCATATTGAGCAGCGTTTACTACTATGCTTACCTAAGCCTTGCTAAACCAGCTGACATTGATGCTATTGTCCCCCTGAGAGCAGCATCTCATCTCTATCCTGATGTGCAGTATCCCTTCTAATGCAACTACAGCACATTTGTGTTTTTGTTGCTGTGGTTTTGTGTGCTGTTAAATCCTCAGTGGCCCAAACGGTGTTGGATACCTAGTAGGTAATCAATACATTTTATAGAATGAATGAAGATGACAAAATACTTCAAATCCTGTAAGTAACCATTGGTATGAATAAGCTTCACATACTTTCTTGCTCTTAAAGCTGGACTCAAGTCCAAGAGACCAATTCAATATAAGCTTATGTATTTTCCTAATACATTGCTCTATAATATTATCTTACCTTCCACAGTGACTTTTTCTCTGGTGATTATTTAGCAAATAATAATGCCAAATAGGGTCTATTTAGCACCTCCTGTGTATTGTAAGATGTGTTGGCATCTTCTTAAAAGAGTCAGGTGCCTCTTTTCAAGTTATATTCCAGCTATTCTTAACATAAACCATTTATGAAAATAGAATATTGGGGACACAATTATTCTGCCACATCTGAACCAGAACTGACATTTAAGTTGGGTTTCTAGAAGCGCTTAATAACTCTGGAAGTTATTTTCCCAAAAAACTTTTTTTACTTATCTTTGTTACATTTGTTTGTGTCTTGTTGCTTGTTCCTAGAGGCTATTTTTTAGGAAAAAAAAAAAAAAGTACATGGCTTTTATCAGCAATGCAGAAAACAAGAACTTCAGTGCTATTGTTATACAAATTATTTAAATAGAACATATTCTACAGAAAAATATCGAGATTGCAAAATAGCTGTGGCTCCGTGGTTTTGACTTTGGTGACGAAAACTGAATAATCAATGTAAGTACCAGAAACTTTTTTTTTTTTTTTTGAGACGGGTCTCACTCTGTCACCCAGGCTGCAGTGCAGTGGTGCGATCTCAGCTCACTGCAACCTCCGCTTCCCGGGTTCAAGCAATTCTCCTCTCTCAGCCTCCCGAGTAGTTAGGACTACAGGCACACACCACCATGCCTGGCTGATTTTTGTATTTTTATTAGAGACAGGGTTTCACCATATTGGCCAGGCTGGTCTTGAACTCCTGAACTCAAATAATCCACCCACCCTCAGCCTCCCAAAGTGCTGGGATTACAGGCGTGAGCCACCACCCCTGGGCTAGCAGGAACTTTTTAGTAAGTAGGCTTGCACTCTTATCCCTGATAATTTTTAGCTTTGGAGCCTTGACCAAATTACTTACATTACCTTTTGACTCATAGTTTTCTCCTTTCCTAAATGCAATTAAAAATGCCTACAATAAAAGGTCATATAGTTTTGTAGAAAATGTATGCAAACATGATTCTCAGAAAATGATCAGTGCATGACTTGGGCTATTGTGATTGTTTTAGAACCCCCTTTTCTGAAGAAAAGGAAACACTTAATTTATCCCCATTCACATGTTAGCCACTTTCAATAATGTAAGTTGCATTCTATCAAATAATTGGTTCATACTTACAGATTTTTTTCTTAAAAAAATTTTTTTATTAATGCATATGAAATGTACATATTTTTGGAATGTATGTGATAATTTGATATGTTCATGCAATCAAATCTGGGTAATTGGGTAATTCGTCACCCTAAATATTTATTATTTATTTTTATTTTTGCTGGGAACATTTGAATTATTCTGTTCTAGCTATTTTTCTTTTTTCTTTTTTTTTTTTTTTTGAGATGGAATTTCATTCTTGTTGCCCAGGCTGGAGTGCAATGGCAAGATCTCGGCTCACCGCAACCTCCGCCTCCCCGGTTCAAACAATTCTCCTCCCTCAGCCTCCCGAGTAGCTGGTATTACAGGCATGTGCCACCATGCCTGGATAATTTTGTATTTTTAGTAGAGACGGGGTTTCTCCATGTTGGTCTGACTGGTCTTGAACTCCCAACCTCAGGTGATCCACCCGCCTTGGCCTCCCAAAGTGCTGGGATTACAGGCATGAGCCACTGCGCCCCGCCGGTTCTAGCTATTTATAAATGTGCAATAAATTACCGTTAACTATAGTCACTCTAGTGATCTATCAAATACCAGGTCATATTTCTTCCATCTAAATGAATAGTTATACCCATTAACCAACATCTCTATCCCTCCCTTCTCTCAACCCTTCCTGGCCTCTGGCAACCATCAATCTACTCTCTACCTTCATGAAATTCACTTTTTGAAGCTCCCACATCAGGGAGAACATGAGTGAGAACGTGCGATATTTGTCTTTCTGTGTGCCTCGCTTGCTTCATTTAACACAATGACCTCCATGGGTGGACCATGTTGTTGCAAATGACAGGATTTCATTATTTTTTTTACACCTGAGTAATATTCCATTGTGTATTTATACCATATTTCTTTCATCCATCCACTGATGGACACTTAGGTTGATTCCATATTAGGCTATTATGAATAGCGCTGCAGTAGACGTGGGAGTATAGCTGTATCTTTGACATATTGATTTTGTTTCTCTTCGATATATACCCATTAATGGAGTTGTTGGATTATATGGTAGTTCTATTTTTAGTTTTTTGAGAAACTCTGTACAATTTTCCATAATGACTGTATGAATTTACATTCCCACCAACAATGTACAAGGGTTCCTCTTTCTACACATCCTCACTGGCGTGTGTTATTTGCTATCTTTTTTTGATAAAAGACATTTTAACTGTGTTGGGGAAACTAGCGCCACACCACCAGGCGGGTACCCCAGTCCAGCAGAGACAAAGGAGTTAGAAAGAGACAGAATAAGAGTTTAAAAGGCGGGTCCAGGGGACCTGAGCCTCCGAAGCTTGCTTACAGCCCAGAGCTCTTCAGCTCCGCCTAATTTATTGATATACAAGCTCTTTGTTCTTAGGGAAGATGGGAGGGGTAGGAAGGGATGAGGAAAAGGATTAATTGGTTAAGGAGAACTCGTGAGTCATTCAATAAGATGTATAGCAGTGGCGGTTTCTGTGAATTTCCTTGAGCAAAGGCGTGTGTCTAAACTACTTAAGATCTTTAACTTATTGGGAGTGGAACGGGTGGGTGCGGGTTTCAGGAGGGGGAGTGTTATCTCGCCGAGCAACCTGTGGAATTCCGCTGAGCGGTTATGCTCTGGGGGCATAAAGACAGGAAGGCAATAAGGAGACTTTTCTCCCCAGAGGCCGCCCATGGTTCCCCATGGGTGTCTCACACAGGGGAGACCAACTCATCTGGCACCCTGGAAACTCTCTTTCCCACAAACTGGAGTGAGAGGATATCTTATTGTGGTTTTAATTCGCATTTCATTGATTATTAGTGATGTTGAACTTTTTTTGCATATACCTGTTGGCCATTTGTATGCCTTTTTTTTTTTTTTTTTTTTTTTTTTTTTTTTTGACACAGGGTCTTGCTCTGTCACCCAAGCTGGAGTACACTGGCATGATTATAGCTCACTGCAATCTCAAATACTTGGACTCAAGCAGTCCTCTTGCCTAAGCCTCTTGTGTAGCTAGGACTATTGGCACATGTCACAAAAAATTGGTTAATTTTTATTTTTATTTTTTTTGGTAGAGATGGGGGTCTCATTATGTTACCCGGGCTGGTCTTGAACTCCTAGGCTCAAGCCTCCCCATTCTCTTGCCTCAGCCTCCCCAGCTGCTGGAATTATAAGGCTGAGCCACCCCACCTTGCCTGTATGTCTTTTTTTGAGAAATGTTTGTTTAGATCTTTTGCCCTTTTTAAAAATGAATTTTTTTTTTTTTTGCTATTGACTTGTTTGAGATCCATAAATCCTGGTTATTAATCCCTTGTCAGATAGATAGTTTGCAAATATTTTCTCCCTTTCTGAGTTGTGTCTTCATTTTGTTATTTCCTTTGCTGTGCAGAAGCGTTTTAACTTTGTGTAATTCCATTTGTCTATTTTTGTTTTGTTACCTGTGCTTTTGAGATATTACACAAAAAAATCTTTACCCTGACCTGAAGAGCTTCTAGAAGCTTTGTAGTTTCAAGTCTTAGATTTAAGTTTTAAACTCTTTTTTACTTGATTTTCATATGTGGTGAGAAATATATGTCTAGTTCCATTTTCTGTGTATGGTTATCCAGTTTACCCAGCACCATTTGTAGAAAAGTTTGTCTCATTCCCATTGCATGCTCCTGGTGCTTTTTTGTAAAATAAAATAAAATAAAATAAAATAAAATAAGTAGGCTGTAAATGTGTAGATTTATATCTGAATTCTGTATTCTGTTTCATTGGTGTATGAGTGTTTTTATGCCATGCTGATATGATTACTATACATCTGTAGTATATTTTGAAGTCAGATAGTGTGATGCCTCCAGTGTTGTTCTTTTTGCTCAGGAAGGCTTTGGCTATATGGAGTTTTTATGGATTGATGTAAATTTTAGGATTTTTTTCCATTTCTATGAAGAATTAGTTGGCATTTTGATAGAAATTGCAGTGAATATATAAATTGCTTTGGGTAGAACTGTCATTTTAACAATATTAGTTCTTCCAAACCATGAGCTTGAAATATCTTTCCATTTTTTATGTCTTCTTAAATTTATTTCATTAGTGTTTTATAGTTTCACTTGTAAACATCTTTCACTTCTTTGGTTAAATTAATTCCTAGGTACTTTATATTTTTGTAGCTACTATAAATGTGATTGCTTTCTTGATTTCTTTTTCAAATTGTTTGCTGTTGACATATATAAATGCTACTAATTTTTGTATATTGATTTTTTTATCCTGTAACTTTACTGAATTTGTTTATTAGTTCTAGCAGTTTTTTGGTGGAGTCTTTAGATTTTTCTAAATATAAAATCATATTGTCTGTGAACAAGGCTACTTTGACTTCTTCCTTTCCAATTTGGATGTCTTTTATTTCTTTCTCTTGCCTAATTGTTCTGGCCAGGACTTCCAGTATTATGTTTAGCAAAAGTGGTGAAAATGGGCATCCTTGTCTTGTTGCAGGTATTAGAGTGAAGGCTTTTGAATTTTCCCCATTTGGTATGATATTGGCTGTGAATTGGTCATATATGGCCTTTGTGAATTTGAGGTATGATTTTTCTCTGCCCAGTTTGATGAAGGTTTTTTTCATAAAGGGATGTTTAATTTTATTGAATGATTTGTTTAGAATCTTAAAATGATCACATAGTTTTTGCTCTTGATACTGTTAATGTGACGTATCATACTTACTTGTTTGCATATGTTTAACCATCCTTGCAACCTTGAGATGAATCCCACTTGATCATGTTGAATGATCTTTGTAACATTTGATGAATTCAGTTTACCAGTATTTTGTTGATTATTGTTGAATCTATGTTCATCTGTGATATGGGCCTGTAGTTTTCTTTTTCTGTTGTATTATTGTCTCATTTTGGTGTCAGAGTAATGCTGGCCATGTAGAATGAGGTTGGAAGTATTTACTCCTCTTAATTTTTTTTGAAGAGTTTGCATAGAATTGGTGTTAGTTTTTCTTCAAATATTTGTGAGATAAGATTTGGCAGCGAAGTCATCAGGTCTTGGGCTTTTCTTTGATAGGATTTGTGGCTTTGATCTTATTACTTGTTGTTGGTTTTTCAGGTTTCTTATTTGTTTCTGTTATATTTTGGCTTTGATCTTATTACTTCTTATTAGTTTTTCAGGTTTCCTATTTGTTTATGTTATAAACTTGGTAAGTTGTATGTGTCCAGAAATTTGTGCATTTCTTTTAGGTTTAACACTTTGTTGGCATACAGATGTTCATAATAATCTCTAATGATTCTTTGTATTTCTGTGGTCACAGTTGCTATGTCCTATTTTGTTTCTGATTGTATTTATTTGAGTTTTCCCTTTTTCTTAGTTAGGCTAGCTAATGGTTTGTGGATTTTCTTTACTTTTTCAAAAAACAACGTTTTATTTTGTTGATTTTCTGTGTTTTTCTTTAATCTCAACTTCATTTACTTTTGTTCTGATCCTTAACATTTGTTTTTCCTATACTAATTTTGGGTTTGGTTTGTTCTTGCGTTTTTAGTTCTTCCAGGTCCATCATTACATTGGTTATATGGAGTCTTCCAACTTTTTTAACATGTGTTTATTGTTGTAAACTTCTCTGTTAGTACTGTTTTTGTTGTATTCCATAGATTTTGGAATGTTTCATTTTTATTTGTTTCAGAAAATAAATTTACTTTTAAATTTCCTTCTTGACCTATTTGTCATTCAAGGGCATGTTGTTTAATTTCCATGTGTTTGTATATTTTCCACAGTTCCTCTTGTTACTGATTTCTAGTTTTATTCCATTGTGATCAGAAAATATTCTTGATATAATTTCTACTTTTTTAATGTATTGAGACATATTTTGTGGCCTAAAATATGTTCTATTGTGGATAATGTCCCACGTACTGATGAAAAAAATGTGTATTCTGTCACAGATGGGTGAAATTTTCTATAAAGGTCATTTAGGTCTATTTGGCCTAGTGTGTAGTTTGACCCTGATATTTCTTTGCAGACTTTTGTTTAGGCAATCTGTTCATTAATTAGAATGGGTGTTGAAATTCCCTACTACTATTATATTTCAGTCTATCTCTCCCTTTCAATCTATTAATGTTTGCTTTATATACTTGTGTGTGTAGATATTCACAAGTATTAAATCCTCTTGCAGAACTAACCCCTTTATCATCATATAGTGACCTTCTTTGTCTTTTTACAGTCTTGGATGAGCAGTCTATTTTATCTGTATAAATAAAGCTACTTACTCTTTTTTGGTTTGCACTTGCATGGAATGCTTTTTTTCCATCCCTTCACTTTCAGTCTATATCAGTCTTTATAGGTAAGGTGAGTTTCTTGTAGGCAGCATATAGTTGGATCTCATTTCTTAATTCAGTCAGCTAGTCTGTATTTTTTAATTGGAGAATTGAATTCATTTACATTCATTGGTATTATTGATAACTAAGGACTTACTACTGCAACTTTGTTGCTTGCCTGCTTTATTTTGTAACTCTTCCTTTCTTCCTTTCTTAATGCCATTCTTTGCAGTTAAGTGATTATATCTGATAATATGTTTTTAAGGGAGGAGACCACCCCTCATATTGTCTTATGCCCAATTTCTGCCTCCGAAGAAAGAAGACATAAAAACTAAAAGACAGAAATGAAATCCACAGGCAGACATCCCAGCACCACACCCTGGGCCTGGTAGTTAAAGATTGACCCCTGACCTAATCAGTTATATTATCTATAGATTACAGACATTGTATAGAAAAGCACTGTGAAAATCCCTGTCCTGTTCTGCTCCATTCTAATTACTGGTGCATGCAGCCCCCAGTCACGTACCCTCTGCTTGCTCAATCGATCATGACCCTCTCATGCGGACCCCCTTAGAGTTGTAAGCCCTTAAGAGGAACAGGAATTGCTCACTCAAGGAGCTCGGTTTTTGGAGACGTGAGTCTGCTGATGCACCCAGCTGAATAAAGCCCTTCCTTCTACAATTCCGTGTCTGAGGGGTTTTGTCTGCAGCTCGTCCTGCTACATTTTAACTTGTTGAATTTTGTTTTTAGTGTACCTATTATACCTTTTTGCATTGTGGTTTCCATGAGGCTTACAAAAACCAGCTAATAGGTATAGTAAGTTATTTTAAGGAGTTGACAACTTAGATCATGAAATATGTATAAAAACAAAAGCAAACTCAAACCAAAAAATCTCAATTTTAATTCCATACCAAACATTTTGACTTTTGGTTGTCTCTATTTACATTTTTTAATATTGCCTATCTTTTAAAAGGTTGCTGTAGCTACCATTGTTTTTAACAGATTTGTCTTTTAGGCTTTAAATTAGTGTTATAATTGGATTGCACACCACAATTACAGTAATACAGTATTCTGGGGTTGCTTTTGTACTTAATATTACCAGTGAGTTTTATACCTTCAAATGCTTCATTTTTTGCATATTATTGTTTATTTGTTTTTTTTAATTTCATATTGAAGACTTTTTAAAGATTTTTTTATAAGATGGGTCAGGTGGTGGTGAATTGTCACTGTTTTTGTTTGTCTAGAAAAGACTTTATATCTCCTTCATATCTGAAGGATAGCTTTGTTCTATTCTCAAATGGCAGTTTTTTCTTTCAGCACTTTAAAAATGTTTTACTCCCTCCTGGCCCATAGGATTTTCACTGAGAAGTCTGTTGGCAGAGGAATTAAAGCTCCTTTATATGTTATTTGCAACTATTCTTTTGTGCTTTTAGGTTCCTAATTTGTCTTTGACCTTTGAGAGTTTGATTATTATTTATCTTGGGGTAGTCTTATTTGCATCAAATATGTTTGGCATTCTCTGATTTTCCTGTAACTGTATATTTCTATCTTTCTCATGTTTGGGAATTTTTTGTTATTATTTCTTTGAGTAACTTTTCCACCTCTTTCTCTTGTTCAACTCCCGGTAGAACACCAGTAGTTCTTAGATTTTTTTGAGATAATTTTCTGTATCTTGCAGGAGATTATCATTTCTTCTCTTTCTTTTTTTTTTTCTCTAACAGTGTAATATCAAATAGCCTGTGTTTAAGCGCCCTGATTCTTTCCTTTGCTTATTCCATTCTTCTGTTCAGAGCCTCCAATGAGTTTTTCAGTTTAGCAAATTCATTTTTGATTCCTAAGATGTCTATTTGATTTTTAAAAATTATTTCAATTTATTTGTTAAATTACTTTCATAAATTTGTGAATTGCTATGCACTGCATATTCTTAAAACTTCTATTTTAAATTCTTGGTCAGAGAACTCACATATTGCTATCTTGCTATGGTCAGTGACTTTTTTTTTTTGGGTGGGGGAGGTTATGGTTCCTAGTGGGCTGTTGTTTCTCATGATGTAGGTCTGTGTCTTTGCACTGAAGCGCTAGTTATATATTCCAGTCCTCTCTGTCTGGTTTGAATTTTTTCCTTCAATACGTTAGAGGTGTATTTAGCTAACATTGAAGATGCACCTGGAAAGAAAAACACACAAATTACAGTAACACTTGTAATCTATGCTTTTTCCAAAGGGGTTTTTGTGAACTTCAATATTTAAATGGGAAAGAGCAAGCAGGAGGGGAAAAAAAGATAGGGAGGGTAGGCAGTGAGTTAAATGGTTACATTCTCATGAAGCTCTAATTAGTGTATGTAAATCCACATTTTACATGTGAAAAGAGAGAGTAGAGAAAAAAAATCAATTATGCACTGTCTCACACTTAGTATATCTACATTTTATATAAGATAAAGTAAACATATGAAAAGAAAAAGTAAAGAAGAAGTAAAGGAGATGAGGCTATGACATGTGGTTGTAAAATTACAGCTGTCTGGGAAAAAAAAGAAGACAGCTTTGATGACTCAGTTCCCAAGCTTAACTTTCCCTTTGGCATAGTGAGTTTCATGTCCCAAGATTTTATTTTTTTTTCTAATTTTCCCCCATTCTTCAAAATCTTTCAGAGAAAACATTGCAGAAGAAATATATATATATATATGTATATAGTCTTTATGCTTCTTCTCTTTTGAGATCCTGTTTTGGGTAATTTTTTTTTTTTTTTTTTTTTTTTTGAGACAGAGTCTTGCTCTGTCACCCAGGCTGGAGTGCAGAGGCGTGATCTCGGCTCACTGCAAGCTCCACCTCCCAGGTTCATGCCATTCTCCTGCCTCAGCCTCCCGAGTATCTAGGACTACAGGCGCTCGCCACCATGCCCGGCAAATTTTTTGTATTTTTAGTAGAGATGGGGTTTCACCTTGTTAGCCAGGATGGTCTTGATCTCTTGACCTCATCATCCGCCTGCCTGGGCCTCCCAAAGTGCTGGGATTACAGATGTGAGCCACCACACCCGGCAGCTAAAACATTTTTAAACAATTATGTACTTGGCACGTCTGTTTACTTCCTTTCTTAAAATTGTTCTATTTATTTTTAATCCACCTTATTCCTCCTTTCTGCTATCTTTAGTTTCTTTTGCATTGCATTGCATTGCAGCTAGCCTCAGGGATATGTCCTTACAGTCAGGTACACTGTGAAAGCATTTTATCCTGTGGCATTTTCCTCTTTGGAGGAACCCAAGATTTGATGTAAAAATAGGACCCTTGATTTTTGGGGGATCTGTGTTCTGCCTTCCAGCTGTGCTTTCTTCTCACGTATTTAAATATTAGGCCCTAAAATCTACATGTTTCCTTCCCATATTCACCACAGGGCTCCACCAAGAAGCTGGTATTCTAATTAAGAAACAAGCTAAGTTTGAGCACCAAAATATAAATTTCTATCATTTAGCTGACTCCCCTCAAACACTTTTGTACAAAAAATTTACATCTTTATAAAGGTTTCCACTTGGAAGGGTGTCTGCCTGTGTATGTTAGAAACTCATAGCATTGTTTTAAATTTGTAAGTAATACCTTTGTTTAAGGTACTTTTCCTGGACATCTCAACTGAACTTTTACTTATACCACTGTTTTTCCTTGGTTTGAGCAAATGGCAGTACAATATTTAGGCCTAATATTTTGATTCTGTGCTTTGAGACATAAATGTTCTACCTTGCATCACTTACGAGTTGTCCCTTTAGAAATTCAAATTCAGGCTTGCCTAGGGAGCAATTATTTGGGACGGAAAACAGAAAATCAAGAGATAGGGAGTCTAAAGTGTAGGACAGAAACTAAAAACTGGCAAATGAAGAATCTTATAATCTGTAAGATATGCTTCTATTTGCCTCTATGTCTATATATTTATATGTGCCTCATGTATGTGATGTTGCAGTACCAAAAGATATGAGCTGTAATTAATTGGCTTAAAATAAAAGGAAGCACTCAAATCAAATATTTTATCAAAAATATAAAAGCTAGCTCAAATGCCTTTTAGTTCATGGAATTATAGTAATCTTTGGTTAATGAGACAGTTTTAAAATTATTGGTAAGATAAATTATAAAAGACTTCAAAATTTAATTTAGACATTTGGTCTGAATTAGGCAGGTCAGATTTTGTCTGCTGGATGGTTTAATTTTATAAACTACTTCTGTGATATTTTTGATAATTGTTTAACTTGTCTGTATTAGAGCCATTAGATTCTAGGCTGTAAAACAAATGGCCATGACAAGGCCTAGTGACATGTGGAGCTCTCCTGGGCCTAACTCTTCCTCCTGGCTATGCTGGGAAGGGTCAGCCCTTATCTGCAGCTCTGCCCTTTGTCCCAGACTCTGCATCTGATTCATAATTAAAATTTCTTACTTCCTAGTTCTTTCACTAAATATAAGTTAACATTATAACAAATGTATGTAATTAAAACAACTACATATAAGATACAAAATTCTTCATGCAAAATATATAAGGAAAGTAAGATGTGTTTTTAGTTAAAAAAAAAAAAAACATAGTAAGGCAGCATGGGAATGTGGTTTTTGTTAAAGTATAGTAAATTTGCCTAGAGTTTTTTTGTTTTTTTTTTTAAACTAAAGGAGTAAAAAAATGATAGATAAAATTATATGAATATAAAAAGTTAGAAAAAAAGTATATTTATATATAGGCAAGATGATCTCTGAGTATAAGGAGAGGTTATAGCCACCTGCAATAAACTTTCACCTTCTGCTACCAAGTCCCAAAATGAAACACAAAACCAGCTCCTTACCTGAAGATAGAATCATTATTTAAAAAATATTAGCTTCACACAGTCACCCAAATTTTTATTTTATTTGAGATAGTATTGAATTTAGCAAAGATTAATTACTATTTGTATAGTTATAAGGATGCTAGTTATTAGAGTTGTTACTGAAATTCAGCAGTGTATGGATATTTTTCAACTGAATCATTCTATCTTCCAACTTCTCTATGAAGAAGAAATATGGTCACATTAGCTACTTAATGTGCCATACCTAAATATTTGATGAAACAATGGAAAATTTATATGTTTTCAAAAATGAAATGGAATAATGATTTTAATTGAATCTTCAGAAATAAACTATTTTATTTATCTGAGCATGTAAAATGTCAGATTGGAAATTTCTAACCAACTTATTTTTTAATGGAATTAGCCGGATTTTGAAAAAAAAAGTCCTCTAGAAAATATGAAGTATTATCTTGATTTTTCAAGTAATAATGTATAAAATAGTCTTGCTATGACCTTTAATTATTTGGGGGTTATTTATCAAACACAAAATGTCATTCCAGTGATTAGATAATACTGTCAAAGTAATAATTACTTAGGCAGAAATTTGTATGGCAAATTATATAATAGCGTGTTTCTTAGTCCGTTTGTGTTGCTATAAAGGAAGGCCTGAGGGTGGGTAATTTATAAAGAAAAGAGGTTTATTTGGCTCATAGTTCTGCAGGCTGTACAGGAAGCATGGTGCTGGTAGCTGGTGAGGGCCTCAAGGTGCTTCCACGCACGGTGGAAAGGAAAGGGGAGCTGGCATGTGCAGAGATCACATGGCAAGACAGGAAACAAGAAAGAGAGAGAGGAGGGAAGCGCTAGGCTCCTTTAAACAACCAGCTCTCACAGAAACTATGAGGATGCTATGGGGTTGACACTAAGAAATTCATGAGGGATCCACCCCCTTGACCCAACCACCTCTCATTAAGGCCCACCTGCAACACTGAGAATCAAATTTCAACATGAGGTTTGGAGGGTCAAATGTTCAAACTCTAGCAATCATGAAGTAGGTATTTCCGTGTACATAATAAGAAAGCCCTGCATTTTGGGAAGAATTGAATGCAGGAGCAAAGAAACAAGCTAGTAAACACAAGGTGTGAAGATGGAATAGTTAAAAGAACAGGTTAGAATTGCCATTATGGTATGAGAAATGACTGGAAGCCAGATGTAAGATGTATCAGTACAGAAGACATTGGGGTTTTAAAGACTCAATTTATACATAACTGTAGGAAGTAAAAATCAGGGTTTGACAAGATGAGAATGAGAAAATACAATAGGATTTCAAATTTTGTCATCTATCTACTTAGTATCCTTGTCTGGCTATCTTAAGAACTATGCGTGTTACAGTAGATAGCTAGTTGGACATGAGGAAGGCCGAAGCCTCAGCCCCCCAATCAGGAATGTCAGGAAACCATCAGGTGATAGTCAGGCAGTTGTTATACTGTCTGTCTAAAACAATAACTGGTCGCAAACAGCATCAGGGAAAAGCAGTCTCCCAATAGCTAGAAAAAAACAGAAACGGGGGATCAGCAGCTTCCCAATAAAATCTCAGGAATTAGGTGAGTGGACTCAAGCATGGGCATTAAGAGGAACAATGGTGGAGTTTAACTGGTATATGACCTTCTGGGAACATTTGGCTGGTAAGGGAAGAATGCCTCAAGTGAGCATGCATACAACTCTAGGAAACACACTGCACATGTGGCCCCTCTCAGGTGCTGGAAAGCCGCTGTGCATGCAGACAGCTTACCCCAAAGGAAGATTCAGGGGAGGAGAGAGGCAGACTCCGGAAGAATACCAACATAGAAAACTCCAAGTAAAACGTCAAACTGCATATGTCAGTCTCTCAAGTCACACACTTGGCCCTCTTCCAAGTGTATTTTACTTCCTTTCATTCCTGCCCTAAAACATTTTAATAAACTTTCACTCCTGCTCTACAACTTGCCTCAGTCTCTCACTCTGCCTTATGTTCCCTTGGTCAAATTCTTTCGTCCGAGGAGGCAAGAATTGAGGTTGTTGCTGAGGAGAGACAAGAATTGGGTTGACCCATAGGAATTCACCTCTGGTAACATGTGCAGATGCCTTTTCTTTAGATGAGATAAGATTTTGCCTGCAACCCCTACATGTTATGGAAAATTCTAACACCTGCATGCAATTGATTTAATGGGATTTTGCTGATACTTAGCCATAAAGCTTCCCAACAGGAAAGCTACTTTCCTGGAATGGTATACATTCCTGAAGTCTTGGCTCAAGCTTACACTACTTTTTACAATCAGAAGAATTACTGTCAGAAATACCCCAGAAATACTGTCAGAAATACTGACTATACCCCAAGAAGTGTTGCTAAAATTTGAAGTTTATTGCTTCACATCAGTCTATATGGTTTCCTTCCTAAGTTTTAATTACCTCTTGGCTTCATTTGAAGTGTTCCTCATACTGACTAATCAGAACTTCTGTACTGCTCATTTCCTGTCCTTATACACTTTCCATACCCCTTGCCTTTTTCACATATGGTTTGGCTCATTTTGATTTGTCTTTTGGTGAGAGACTCTTTTTTTTTTTTCAATAAAAGTCTTTCCTTCTCCTCTTTGCCCATATGTAAGTGATGTCATGCCTATAAACCCCAACCTGTGCTTGAGTTGCTGTAATCAGCTTCCTTCATAACAGAGGACTGTCTTTCTGAAACTAAAGCTCCAGAGGGACTTTTCTACTACTGAGGCTGAGACTGTTTGTTTTATTACACCCTTTCTGTTCTTTTCCATTTTCTACCTAGCCATGCAGCAAGACTATATTTTTGTGCTCTCCTTGCAGTGAGTTGTGATGTTGTAACTGAATTCTGGCCAGTAGAATATAGGCAAAAATGGCTCTTAAACAACAGCACAACAACAACAGCAACAACACATTCCATAATCCTTCATGATCTTTCTCCCACTGTGCTGACCTAATGCAGGGAAGCTATTGGAGGATGCCAAATCTCTTGGTGATGTCAGATTTACCAGATACAAGATGTAGGGGTCCTTGCTGACTTGAATTGCACCCTGAAAGTGGAAGAGAAATAAATTTCCCCAGTATTATGGCACTGAGCTTTTAGGTTTGCTACCAACAGTTATCTCTGTGAATTATATAGCTGAGCACTACTCGGCCAATAGCCTGGAGCTAGACCTGAAGTTGCTGGCAGACCCTGCACAACTCACTGAACTTGGCTGAACCTTAGCTTCATTAGCTGAAAAATAAGAAGAAATAAAGAAAGATAACATTTACTCTTTCAGCTTATGGTGATGTTATACACTGAATGTTTGTGTCACTTTAACCTACTGTCCCCTCTACTCCATGGTATTTGGAAGAAGGGCTTTTGGGAAAAAATTTACATGAAGATGAGGCAATGATGATGGCATTAGTGGACATATAAGAAGAAGAAGAGAGAGGCCAGATCTTTATTTTTTCTCCACAATATGAGAACACAGGAAGAAGGCAGCCATCTAAAAGCCAGGAAGAGAATTCTCACCAGGAATCAAATCAGCCAGTACCTTAATCTTAGACTCCAAACTTCCCAGACTCTACAACTGAGAAACAAACGTCTGTTGTTTAAGCCATCCAGTCTATGGTAGTTTGATATGGCAACCTGAACTAAGATGAGAAATAAATAATAGACCATTACTAATAATATTTACCACAAGGCCTAGAACACAGTAGATTAGTAAATGTTACTTTCCTTTATTCATTCTGCTTTCCTGGTTAAATATTCCAAGTCAAGTATTTTATTACACATTTTCCTGAAATAAGAGTCAAAAATATTTACTTTATTTTTCTTTAAAATTTAACAGTTTACCAAGCCACATAATTTACACTCTAGTGATTATATTTTTTCTCATTCCTTGCCACTGCCCTGTGGCTTTTTATTTTTAATTTTGAAAGTAGACTCGGTAGTAAAATCAATGGAAAAAAATTTTAAATATCTCTTAACTTAGTCGCTCATGAATAATAAAAGTATTTTATAGTCGGCATTATAATTTTTATCAAGAAACTACTTTATTAACCATTCTACATAATCTGCATTGAAAAAACTATTTCAGGATAACATGGGATGGTGGCTGCTATCACTCTGGCTTTCTTGATCCACCTGAACTCTTAAAGATGGGAAGGTTTCAAGAGTAGACATGCAGATTAAATTTGGCTAAGTATAGTCTTTGCACTGGAAAAAAAATTGTTACTGCCTTTTTACTTTTTATTCCATTAGACTGTGAGTAACTTGTAGATGAGCGCTATTCTTTACAAGTTTGTCAAAAGAATGAATAAGTGATAGACAGACATATACATTTATACTTTGTTTCCTGTTTCTCTGGCTCCCATGTAACTGCATTTTTTAAAAATGCTAATAAACTTTATTTTTTAGAAAAATTTTAGATGTACAGAAAAATTATGAAGATAGCAAAGGAAGTTTCCAAAACTCTAAATCCAGTTTACCCTATCATTGAGATCTTCAATTATTATGGTGTACTTCCCCATAGTACAGTATTGATTAATAAATCAATACTGATACATTGTTATTAAACAAAACCCACCCTTTATCTAAATTTTCTCAGTTTTTCCCTGTTGTCCTTTATGTGTTCCAAAATTCCATCTAGGATATCACACTACATTTAGTAATCATCTCACCTTAGGCTCATCTTCACTGTAACAGTTTACCAGGCTTTCCTTGTTTTTGATGATCTTAATTTTAGGGAGTACTGGTCAGGTTATTTTATGGAATGTTCATTAAATTGGGTTTGTCTGATGCATTTGCTGTGATGAGATTGCGATTATGGGTTATTGAGAGGAAGACGACAGAGGTTGTCATTTCATCACATCATGTTGATGATGCATACTAACAACCTTTGTTATCACCACTGATGTTAAACTTGCTCACATGGCTGAGATAATGTCTGTCAGATTTCTCCTTTTTAAAGTTACTACTTTCTCTCTCTTTCCATACTGTATTCTTGTAAAAGAAGACACTCTGTATAGCACAAACCTGAGTGGGGAATTATGCTCTATCCCCTTTAGGGCAGATTATCTACATAAATTATCTATATTCTGCATGTGACATTTGTCTTTTTTGCCTCATTTATTTATAATGAATTATTATTCATCACTTATCTGTATATATGGGTTCATAAATATTGCTTTACTACTTTGGGCTATTATTCTATCCTACTGTATTTGTTTTGTTGCCTAAATTGTTCCAGCTTTGGCCATCTGAATGCTTTTTCATTTGAATCTTAAGTGACTTTGTTATACCTCCCCCCTTGTGTTTTGTGGGTTTTTTTGGGGTTTTTGTTTGTTTGTTTTTGTTTTTTGTTTTTTTTTTATTCTTTATTGAGACGGAGTCTCGCTCTGTCGCCCAGGCTGGAGTGCAATGGCGCGATCTCGGCTCACTGCAAGCTCCGCCTCCCGGGTTCACGCCATTCTCCTGCCTCAGCCTCCCAAGTAGCTGGGACTAGAGGTGCCCGCCGCCACGCCCAGCTAATTTTTTGTATTTTTAGTAGAGACGGGGTTTCACCGTATTAGCCAGGATGGTCTCGATCTCCTGACCTCGTGATCCGCCCGCCTCGGCCTCCCAAAGTGCTGGGATTACAGGCTTGAGCCACCGTGCCCGGCCTGTTTTTAGTACTTCTTTACATTTGTCACTACAAAATGCTATAGGCTCAACTTGTATATTTCCTGTTCCCCAGTCCTAGAATTAGTAATTTTTTTTTTATAGATAGTTAGCTAGCTATTATGTGGTTGCTTTATAGTGTCAATGGTCTATGTACTTAAGTGTGTTTTTGTGGTGGCTGGTAAAGGTCTTTCCTTTCCATATTTAGCACTCCCTTCAGGACCTTTTATAAGGCAGGTTTGGTAGACAAGTATTTGCTTGTCTGAAAAGTATCATATTTTTTCCCTTTGGTTATATAGCTTAGTTTGTCTGGATATGAAATTCTTGGTTGGAGTTTCTTTTCTTTAAGAATCCTGAATACACACCCTCAGTCTCTTCTGGCTTAAAGGGTTTCTGTTGAGCCTGGTGGGAATACGTTTTAACTGATCTTGGCCCTTCTCTCTAACCGCCTTTAATATTTGTTTTTTCATGTCCACACTGGAGAATCCGATGACTATGTATCTTGGGGATGGTCGCGTGCTATAAGTATGTGGTAGGGATTCTCTCCATTTACTGAATATGAATGTTGGCCTCTCTAGCAAGGTTGGGGAAATTTTCATGGACAGTCTCTTCAAATATATTTTTCAAGTAGCTTGCTCTCTCTCACTCTCTCTCTCGGATGCCAATGAGTCATAGGTTTGGTCTCTTTACATAATCTCATTTTTCTCAGAGGCTTTGTTCATTTTGCTTTATTCTTTATTTCTGTCTGACTGAGTTATTTCAGAAAATCAGTTTTTGAGCTCTGAAATTCTTTCATCAGCTTGGTTGATTCTGCAGTTAATACTTGTGATTGTATTATGAAATTATTGAAATGAGTTTTTTAGCTCTATCCGATCAGTTTGGCTCTTTCTTAAAATGGCCATTTCATCTTTCATCTCCTGTATCATTTTACTAGATTACTTAGATTACTTGGATTGGATTTTTACTTTTTCCTGATTCTCAATCCTATCCATATTCTAAATTCTATTTGTGTCATTTCAGCCATTTGAGCCTGGTTAAGAACTATTGATTTGAAACTAGTGTGATCATTTGGAGATGAGAAGAAACTCTGGCTTTTTGAGTTGTCAGCGTTCTTACAATGGTTCTTTCTCAGCTGTGTGGGCTGATGTTCCTTTAATCTTTAAAGCTGCTGTACTTGGATAGGGTTTTTTGCTTTTATGTTCTTTGATGCCCTTGGGTGTTTGATGGTGGTACAAGGTGTTTTCAGTTGACTGGCTTCATTTCTGGAAGACTGTAGAGGGATAAGACTCAGCTCAGCACTTCCAGGCTGCATGCTGTAACTCTGGTGGTTTGTATTGAGCTCCTGGTTTTGTTCTCTGACTCCTTGAATTTAGGAACCTGGTGCACTGAAGGGGCTGAGGTATTCCCAGTTGGCTGGCCACAACACTCTGAATGATGTTGATGGCTCACTTTGTTGGGGCAGTGGCAGCAGGATTTGTGCTCGCTTGCACATGCCAGCAGTCGCAGCAGTGTGTCACTGTTCACATGTGTTGTCTTGGGTCAGATACCATTAGTAGCGGGGCTGTGACATTCCTGCACTTGCTCACATGAGCAGAGACAGAGCATTGGCAGGAGTGAGGTGGCTGGTGTTTGTGCTTGCACTTGTACCAGTAGCAGCAGCAGCAGCAGCAGGGTCAGGGCACTGGTGGGTGCGAGGCTACCAGCCTCCATGCGTGTATTTGCACTAGTGGCAGTGCTGGTGCAGGGCGGGTGGGGCCACTGGCATCCTTACACGCATTCACCCTGGTAGCTGTGGCTGTGTGGGGAAGGAGAGGTGATGGGATTGCCAGAGTCTATGCACATATTGGCACTTGCAATTGAGGTGTGGTCTGGTGCCTGTGTGTCAGTGGGGAGAGAGAAGACGGTTTGTTGTGCTTATGCCAGCAGCAAGCAGTGGCACAATGCAGTGCATGGGCACATATACACTGGAGGGGGAAGGTACGCTAGGTCAGCCTGTGCCATCCACCAGCAACGTGATGGGGTATGGCTGCGGTCAAGTACATGCCAGCAAGCAGGTGTGGGGGAGGCTGAGGTGGTGGGAGGATGTGGGTGGGCTGGTGTGCATTGGTGGGGGTCCCTCTACTGCAGCTCTCCAGTGGTCAAGTGCGGTCTGCTGGCAAAAGAGCTATGATGAAGGTCCCTGGGAACAGCCTGTTTGACCATCTGAGGCTGTGCTACAAGCAGGCGTAACTAGGCTAGGGCCCTAGGAGAAGCCAGCAGACTGGGAGGCACTCTGATTGGACTGGCCCTATCTCATGGGCAAGACTGCTCTGCTCTCTGTCCAGGTCTGATTCATGCTAAGGCTAAAGTCTTCTAGAGGAGGATGGTGAGCCTTGGGTACTTGTTATTCCAGGCTGTGCTCCACAACAGACATTCCTACACCAAACTCTCTGGGCTCCATGCAGACTGAAGTCCTGTCCTTGCCACCTCTCTAAGCAGCTTTCCTTGTGAGCTCAAGTATCCATGGGGGTCATGGGGTCTCCTGCTGCCAGCATTCTAGAGGTCTGTGGCAACAGTGAGTCACTCCTTACCTGTTCTACTCACCCCTTCCCAGGAGTCACTGGGGGCCACGAACAAGTACTGGTGCTTGTTAGTCCCATGCGGTGTTCCCAGTTTCTTTCCCCTTTAGCCTGGCATCTGTGTCCTCCCTCCACCCATTCTCAATGTCTTCCCTCCAAAGAACTGCTTGGAGTGTGTCAGTCTTCCTGATGTCCCAGTCTCTCAATGGCAGATGTTCCTCCTGCTGTGTCTCGTTGGTCATCTTGGCTCCCAAAAAGCTCAGCAATTTTTCTAGGGAGGCCTTGCCTGTTCCTTTTGTTTAGTAGCAGTATTAGAAACCAAGATCAGGGTGCTGGATGAATTCATTGCTACTGAGGTGTTGTTGCTTCTAGACTCTCTCAGTTGAAAGAACAAGAAAATAGATGTGTGTATACACATGTCTATATTTATACATAAAATCTTCTTTATCCATTTTGATCCAAACATTATTTCATCTTCGTGTCCTCAACTCTAATCCCTATATAATTGTTATAATCATTATAGGCACTTCCACTTACTTATCCCTAAACTCCAACTCCAATGATGGGAAGCCTGGCTACCAGTATGTATTATTTATGTACTTAAGTGTTCCATTACATAATTCTTTTATTTAATTATCTGAATTGTTAAACCTACCTCTATGAGAACTGACTATATCAGCTAGAATACAGTGCTTTTTTATAGTTTTTATTTTCATAGTTGTTTTAGTTTTATAGATTCCTCTCATTTCCGAAGTTTCTTAGGTCACATTTTTCTCTGGCCTTTTCAGTGAGGTTGTTCCATATATTTGTAATCCAGTAGACTGTTTTGCTATTGTCTCCTTACCACATAGGATTCTCCAGACCTTCTAGATTATATTATTTGTAACTTTCCTGCATTAGGGTTCATTCTTTGTGCTGTACCATGCTCTGTGTTTTAACAAATGCCTAATGCCATTTGTCCACAATTTCAGTATCAGAGGAAATAGCTTCACCATCCTAAAAATTGCTGGGTGATTAAACTCTTCAGTCCTCTCCTCTTACTGATCTGTTCGTTGCTTGTTTATTGCTTTTTATAGAATGTCATATCATTAGAATCATGCACTATACAGTCTTTTCAGGCTTGCTTCTTTGGACTAGCAATGGATATTTAAGCTTCATCCCTGTCTTTTGTGGTTAGATAGCTCATTTCAGCTTATTGCTGAATACTCTTCTATTGCATAGATGCACCATATTTAGTTCACCCATTTACCTATTGAAGTTTATCTTGATTGCTTATTACTTCTTACAAACTTTTTGGCAATTATGGGTAAACTGATATAGACATTCATGTGTAGGTATTGGTGTGCACATAGTTTTTAATTTTTTTTTTTTTTTTTGGTAAATAGCTAGGAATTATATTGCTGAGTCATATGTTAAGACTATATTTAGTTTTGTAAGAAATGGCCATACAGGCTTTCAAAGTGGTAATATCATTTTGCATTCCCACCAGCAATGAATAAGAGATTTTGTTGTACAGCATCCTCATCAGAAATTAGTATGGCCAGTGTATTTGGATGATCAAGATTTTTGTTGTGGTTGTGGTTGTTGTTTTGATATTGTCATCATCTTAAGGTCAATTTTTAAAAACAATTCTAATAAGTATGTAGTTGTATCAATTTATTATTTTAATTTACAATCCCCTAACAACATATGATGTTGAACATCTTTTCATTTGATTGTCATGTCCATATCTTCTTTCTTTTATGAGGTGTTCATATCTTTTGATCACTTTTAGTCAGATTGTTTGTTTCCTTATTTATTTTAAGGGATCTTTTTTTAAGTAAAGTGGTGCATATTTTGCATACACATCCTTTATTAAAAACATGTTTTGCAAAAATTTTCCTCTCAGTTTGTGGCTTATTTTTAAGTCTTCTTAACAGTGTTTTTCTTATAGCAGAAGTTTTCATTTTAATAAAGTGTAACATCAGTTTTTTCTTCTTTCATTGATTATACTTTCAGTGTTGTGTCTAAAATGTCCCTATTATATCCCAAGTCACCTATTCTCCTGTCTTTTATTCTAGAAGTTTTACATTTAATGGTTAAGTCTATTATTCATTTCAGATTACTTTTTGTGAAAGGTATAAGGTCAGTGTCTAGATTTGTTTTTTTGAATATAGATGTCTAATTGTTCCAACATCATTGATTTTTTTTAAAAAACTATCCTTTTTTCATAAAATCGGCTTTGCTTCTTTGTCAAAGATGAGTCAGCTATATTTGTGCAATTCTATTCCTGGACTCTATTTTATTACCTTGATTGATGTCTCCATTTGTCAATACCATCATCTTCATTATTTTTGCTTTATATTTAGTCTTCACGCCAGGAAGTGTTAGTTCTCTAACTCTTGTTTTTTCTGCAGTATTGTGTTGCTTATCCTAGGCCGTCTGATATTTCACATACTCTTTAGAATCAGTTGTCAGTACATACAAAATAGAATATTAGGATTTTGATTGGGATGGTGTTAAATCTATAAATCAAATTTCGTTCAGTTTACATCTTAACAATATTAAATCTTTGAATACATAAAAATGAAATATCTCTAATTTATTTGGAACTACTTTGGTTTCTTTAATCAGAACTATGTAGTTTTCTGCACATAAGTAATGCACACAATTTGTTAGCTTTATACCAGTATTTTTTAATCTGGTGTTATTGTAAATGGTATTATCATTATTTTTACTTCAAATTCTGATTTCTGTGCTGATACAAAAAAAATAAGTTTTTCTATATTAACTATAGAAAATATTCAGTGGCCTTGCTATGCTTGCTTATTGTTTACAGAAGTCATTCTGATAACTCATCTGCGGTTTTCCAAATCTTACTTTTGATTCTGTTTACTTTTTCCTTCCCTTCTTTTGTATTTGAACCGTCCGAAATGTTCAGTACAATACTGAACTGAATTGGTGAGATAACTTTCTTGCCTTTTCCCTGTCCTGTTCAGTCTCGTAGCATTTAGTATAATGTTAGTTTTGTTTAATTTTTATTCATTTGTTTGTTTGTTTCTTGGTAAATGTTCTTTGTTAAATCAGGAATGTTTGCCTTTATTATTAATTTTCTGAGACTTTTAAAAATATATTATTGTCAGATGTCTTTTTAAAAAACAATTGATGTAATCATATAAATTATCCTCCATTATCCTGTTCACATAGTTCATTGCAATGATTAATCTATGAATTCTCAACCGGCCTTGCATACCCAGAATAAATCCCACTTGTTGGAGGTATATAATTCTTTTTTTATTTTGTGTAACTTGATTTGCTTATATTTCACTGACAATTTTTTGCATCCAAGTTCATGAGAGGTATAGATATGTATATTTCCTTTCTTATAATGCCTTTGTCTTGTTTCAGTATCAGGATAATGCTGGTCTCATACATTGATTTAAGAAGTTGTCTCTCTGTTTCTATTTTCTGGACAACTTTGTGGAGAATTGGGGTTATTTCTTCAATAAATGTTTGGTAGAATTCACCAGTGAAACGATCTGGGTAGGGGGCTTTATTTTTTGGAAGGTTATAAATTATTCATTGAATTTTTTAAATAGACATAGGCCTATTCAGATTATATATTTATCCACATTCGAGTTTTGTGTTTTATGTCTTTTAAGAAACTGGTCAATTTTATTTAAATAATAAAATTTAAAGTCACAGAGTTTTTTGTAACATTCCATTGTTATTCCTTTAATATCCATAGGGCCATTAATGATTCATCCCCATCTCAGTTCTGATGTTTGTAACTTGTATATTCTCTTTTTTATTCTTGGTTAGCCAAGTTTACATTTATCGATTTTATTTATTTGTTCAAAGAATCAACTTTTGGGTTTGTCTATTTCTTTTACTGTTTTCTGTTCATTAATATCTTTTATTTCTGCTCTAACTTTTATTGTTTTCTGCATGTTTTAGGTCTAGTTTTTGCTAGTTTTCTAAAGTGAAAACTTTTACATTATTTATTTGAGATCTTTATTCTTGTCTAATATATGCACTGGATGCAATAAATTTCCCTCTAACCTCTAATATTGTTATATCTCACAAATTTTGATAAGTTGTAAATTCATTTTGATTTAATTCAATATATATTAATACCTCATATATATATCTCAGTGTATTATATAATGTGAAAATTGTATATAATATATTAACATATCTTAAGTCTTTTTTGTTATGTATGTTCTTTAGAAGTTTTTTTTAATCTCCAGATGTTTAGGAAACTTCTAGTTATCTTTCTCTTTTTGATTTTTAGTTTAATTCCATTGTAGTCTAAGAACATACTTTGTATAACTTCTTTCTTTTAAGTTTGTTAACGTGTGTCTTATTTGCCATAATATGTTCTATGATGCTGAATATTACCTGAGAAGTTTGGGAGAAATGTGTATTGTGTTATTGCTGAATAGAATATCCCAACAAATGTTCATTAGATTAAGTTGATTGATAGTGCCTGACAAGCCAACTATTCCCTTAATGATTTTCTGCCTTCCTATTATATCAATTACTGAAAGAGGCATGGTGAAGTCTTCAACTATAATACTGTATTTGTCTATTAATCCTCACAATTCTATCAGTTTTCATCTGACATAGTTTATCACAATTCTATCAGTTTTCATCTCACATATTTTAATATTCTGTTGTTAGGTGTGTACACCTTTAGGATTGTAGGTGCATACCTACACCTAGGATTCTAATGACTTTTTGGAGAACTGAACTTTTTGGAGAATTGAATTATTATATTAATGCCATATTTATCCCTGACAATTTTCCATGTCCTGAGATTTGCTTTGTGTGCAACTAATACAGATACTCCAGCTTTGTTAGATCAGTGTTAGTATGAAATATCTTTCTTTATCCCCTTACACTTAACATATATAAATATTTGTACTTAAATTAGTTTCTTGAAAACACCATATATTTGGCTTTCTCATTCACCTTGACTGTCTTTTAATTAGAATTTTATATTATCTATATAATAAGTGATTATTGACATATTTGGATTAATATCTATATTTTTAACTATTTCTTATTTGTTACAATTCTTTGTTTCTTTCCAGCCCTCAACTTTTAATGTCATCTCTGCTTCTGATTATTTTATATGATTCTATTTAATCTAATTTCTTAGCATACCAAGATATTTTCTTTTTATTTTTAGTCATTACCCTAGAGTTTACAATATACATTTTTAACTAAGCCTATCTTCATATGAAACTGTAACTCTTCACATGAAAAAATATATTTTATTCTTCTTTCATCTATTATTTTCAGATGCTTCTTCTATATTTATGTAGATTTAAGTTTCAGTTTTTTTATTTAAATCATCCCTAAAGAACTTTTTGAAAATTTTTTTGCAGGACAGTTCTACTGGCAAGGAGTTCCCTCAGTTTTTGTTTGTCATAGAAAGGCTCTATTTTCCCTTCACTTTTGAAGGATAATTTTATTGGGATAGAATTCTAGGTTGGAGGGTTGTTTTTCTCACAAAACTTTAAATATTTAATTCTACTCTTTTCTTGCTGGCACAGCTTCTGAAAACACATTCAGCGTAATGGCTATTTCTTTAATTCTATAGGTAAATAAAAGGTTTATTCCCTGTCTTCTGTCACAATATTATCTTTGTCTTGGGTTTCTATAGTTTGCATATGATACAACTCTTTTTTTTTTTAAATCCTTCTTGGTGTTTTCTGAGCTTACTGAATCTATAGTTTCATGTTTGTCATTCATTTTGAAAAATTCAGTCATTATTACTTCAAGTATTTCTTCTGTTGTGTTCTTTTGTTTCCTGCTTCTGCTATTCCAATTGCATGTCTGTTAGACATTTTGAAATTATCCCACTGTTCTTGGGTGTCTGCTCTTTTTTTTAACTGCATGTTGGAAGGTTTCTACTGGATTATCTCAAGCTCTCTGATTCATCTCTCTGTCATGCATTCTACTGATAAATCTATGAAAGTTCTCATTTCCATGTTTTGTTCTGATTTTTAGGTTTTCTTTGAAACTTTATTATACTTTCCATCTCTCTGAATGCCTACTGTTACTTCTTATCCCTAGTTCTTTGTTTACACTGTATATTCAATTTTTTGCTTTAATGCAGCTCTTTTTTACATATTTGTCACCCACCTATTATGCCAAACAATGTACCAGGTACTAAGGGTATGGAGAACATGATCTATGCACATCTCACTCTAATATAATTTGTTTCTCTGTGTGTGTGTGTGTGTGTGTGTGTGTATGCACACACACACACACACAAGCACTGTGTAGTGGAGTTGGAAGATGTAAAGACAAAAAATGATAACCATATGAATGCAAGCTTATGTCAGAAAATAATATACGTTAGGAAGAAATTGTATCATGTTGGTCTGTTACTGAGGGAGTCTTGTGAAAGGGTACTTTATAATGTGTAATCATTCAAGAATATCATTGTGAGGAGATGACTTTAAGCTGAAATAAAATTGTTTAGAAGAATCCAATCATTTGAAGAATCGAGGTAAAACATTCCAAGCAGAGGAAAGAATGAGCCTGATCTATTTAAAAAGCAGAAAAAATACCCATGTGAGTTGCTAGAACACAGCAAATGCAGTGAAGTATGGTATATAAGATGGGATTTTCAGAGTGTACTGGACGAAGATAAAATAGGGACTTGGAAATAAGGTGACTGCATTTTTATCATATGTAGAAAGGCAGTAACTGGGAAGGTTTAATTATGTGTGTGGGGAGGCTGAAGTTTTCTTAACTGATTCACATATTTCTTATCACTAATAAAAGAAACATTCTCCCATCTGCTACCTCTTAGGTTAGATGCCTACATTTGCCTCCATAAAAATATGAACTTTGCTGGGCGCAGTGGCTCACGCCTGTGATCCCAACATTTTGGGAGGCCAAGGTGGGTGGATTACCTGAGGTCAGGAGCTCGAGACTAGCATGGCCAACATGGTGAAACCCTGTCTCTAATAAAAATACAAAAAGTAGGCAGGCATGGTGGTGGGTGTCTGTAATCCCAGTTACTCGGGAGGCCGAAGCAGGAGAATCCCTAGAACCCTGGAGGTGGAGGTTACGGTGAGCAGAGATTGTGCCATTGCACTCCAGCCTGGGCAACAAGCATACGACTCTGTCTCAAAAACAAAACAAAACAAAACATAAAAAGCAAACAAAAAACTGTAAGATAAGTTTATTCTTTCTCTCCGAATCTCTAAAACTGGCCCAGTGCTTGCATACTAAGTGATACTCAATAAATGCCTATTCTTTCATTTAAATAAGTAGATCTACTTAATTATATTGACAGATTTCTTACTCTAATAAAAGATGAAGGAGACATAAAAGTGATTTGTTCATTCATATCCTGAGATGATGGAGGATATGCCACCATAGTTTGCATACCTTGTTCAGTGCTAGCTATCAGCATGAACAGGTGAGCTGACTCTTTCCTTAGGAATATTATCCATGGTTTTCTCTAAAGCCACCTACTACTCTCTGCCTAGTAGGTCTGAGATTTCAAGGAAATGGATTTTGTGAGAATCACTTATTATCAGAGGCAAAAAGTAAATTAAAGGTTATTTAATCCAGTTCTCCACAGCAGTTTGAAGTTGCCTAACACTAACCCAATTTGGTGATTTTACATTCTATCATAAGGGAGTTTGCTGTCTCCTAAGACAGCCAATACTATTTCTAATGTGAGTTCTTGGCAGTTAGAAGTAGCCATATATGGGCCTCCTAAAAAAATTAGAAAAGAACTCATGCTAGTATTAAGTAACTTTAAATTTGAGAATAATTTCCTTATAATGAGCCTAATTTATTGTTGAATTATAATTTGCATCTTATTCCTGTCTACGGTGGACATAAAGTTCAAGTCCAATCTGTAGCTACTCTGCACATACTATTTTATGAAGATTTCTATTTCTTTCCATAGAATTCTAGTGAATGACTCATGGACACTCTTCAATATGGGACACCACGAAAATAATATAGTTATCTTAATGAGCTTGTGCAATCTTCAGATGTTCTAGAAATTTTTGTGCCTTTAAGAAGGTTGAAGTTCCTGCCTGGTTTTTGAAAGAATAACTAATGCTGGATTGAAGTAATGATTGTGCAATCATTGTGGTGACATTAAAAACAACAATGACCTTGGAGCCAGACACACCTAGTTGAAGTTCTGAAGCTACACCTTATTAATTCTGCAAGTGAGATCAAGGGACTTATTCTTTCAGAACTTCATGGACAATATGAAAAATGAAGACTTGTTTATCTGGCCATTTGTAGGAGCAATAGATACTAACATGGTTTTAAAATTGTAATATTCACACACAAACTATTATGTCATCATTGTTACCTTTGTCAACATTATCATTATCTTTTGTGGTCGTTGATTTCTCATGAAGCACCGAAGTGAAGAAGACTTTTGAAAATAGTAAAGTGACCATGAAGTAGTAAAAGGGGCATTGAAAAGGTGGTGTAAATTATAGGATGTAATTAATGAGTTAAATACATATACTACCTCCTTCATGGTTTGCCAAAATACACAACAACCCCCATGTAGTCCTTTTTTGGTTATAAGCACCTTACCATCTCTTGATCTGTTATTTTTTCACCCAGTGTGTGGTATGAGGCAAAACTAAAATATTTGTTTTCCTTGACAATCCTGAGGATGAGCAAGAATAATATTTTGCTTACTTTAAGAATGTGGAGGCTGGGCGCGGTGGCTCATGCTTGTAATCCCAGCACTCTGGGAGGCTGGGGCAGGTGGATAATGATGTCCGGAGATGGAGACCATCCTGGCTAACACAGTGAAACCCCATCTCTACTAAAAATACAAAAAATTAGCCAGGCATGGTGGCACGCACCTGTAGTCCCAGCTACTCAAGAGGCTGAGGCAGGAGAAAGGCTTGAACCTGGGAGGCGGATGTTGCAGTGAGCTGAGATTGCGCCACTAAACTCCAGCCTGGCAACAGAGCGAGACTCAGTCTCAAAACAAACAAACAAACAAACAAACAAACAAACAAAAAAAACTGTAAACTGGGGTTTTAGAATCTAGAAAATAAATATGAAGTCCCAAATTTTGTTTTAAAGATGAGCTGGAATCCAATTCAAAAATACAGAGAATTTATTGTCACGCTTGTGCCAAAGCTCCTGTCCCTATACAACATGGCTTCTTGCCAAATGTAGGTCACTTGATGCTCCATTTAATCCCATCAGTTTGTGAATATGTCAGTTTCTTACAGTACAAAACAGCTAGAAACTCATGGGTAAGATTGTCTATGTGCTACTGACACACTCAAAGTCCCCTAGGTTTCAATAACCCTTTTTCATCCTGAGGGCAGAGTAATGCAATCATAACAGTTAAGCAGGGAACATATCTATCCCAACCTGAAAAAAAACAGTGAATTCTGGTTTAAATGTTTATTGCACAGAATAAATGTTTGGACACATTCTAATTACATAAAGAATGTCACATTGCTCTAATAAGCTGTCATTCCACTCTGGTTTTAGATATATAGTTTAAAAAGTGAAAGGGTGAACCACCTACAACCCACGGGTGCTTAGTTTCTCTAGCCATTGTTTTGGTAGTGGTGATAAGCTTTTGGACTCCCATAGGGAATACAGACATAGTTTGGTTCAGTAGCATTATCAGGAATGCTAAAAGGAATACTCCTTCAAAGGAGAGAGATTTCTTATACATCTGTATGTGCACATGTATCATGTACTAATAGTGCATAATAATTCCACTACAGAGTATGGCTTCCATTTAGAGAGTAGAAAGAAGATTTGGGTCTGATTCTCTGCCAACTAGTGACCATTTCATGAACTGGAAGGCACGAAGGGGCCACAGAAACTCTGGAAGAAGAAGAGGCTACACTAACTTTTACCAGTCCCTTAAAGGTCATCTATTAATCTTAAAAGAAGAAAAACAAAACAAAACATTCTTTTCTTCCTAGAAACATTGTCTGGCAATGTGCCTATGGTTTTACCATTAGCATGGCAAAATCATGATTTTGCTTTGGGAAAAGCAATGTTGCATACTGCTGGAAAGGTCATTTGGCTTTTGCCTCCAAGAGACATGAGTTTTGTGGCCAAGTGCTCCAGCTCAGGGCATTGTATAGTCATACTAAAGCATCTTAGAGTTCTCATGCATCACTTCAAAATCTTCTTAGTCGTTCATAGTTTCTGTGACAACTGATTTAAGTAGGCCTTGACTAGTTTCCTGGAGGAGCAACTTGAACAGCACATTGTCTTGGTCCATGTTGTAACTATTTCTGTTTCATACTCTGGGGATTCATTTGATGTGTAAAGATGGGACTGTCATAGTAAAAGTCTCTGCAAGCATTCATGTGCAACCTGGAAGTGCGGGCTCATGGACCCACCCTTGGCCAATGGGAACAAAATCTGATAGAAATTTTCCCCCTATTATCCCCAAGGCAGCAAATTTTGACATATATTTCATAAAGCTCTGCAAAAATTCCCAGTGGGACTGGTCACTAGTTATTCACACTAGCGGCCAACTTGATCATCTATCCTTGTATTGGCTTTTATTCCTTCTCTGTGTCACTTACCTGCCCTGTATTCCTATTCCCTGGTATCATATTACCAAATAAATCACCTTCACATAAACATTTTTCTCAGGCCCCAGAAGAAGACACTTGCTTTAAGTCTTTGTTCCTTGAAGTATGGTCTGTGTAACATCAGTATTGGCATCACCTGGGAGCCTGTTAGACGGACAAGCCTTAAGGAGTATCCTGGACCTAGGGAATTTCAACCTACATTTCAGCAAGATCTTAGGTGCTCATTAAAACCTGGTAACTTTGCCTTAAAATTCAAATATCATAGCAGTTTCTATCAGATGACAAATTCAAATGCATCAGAGGCCAGACAAATTATTTAAACAAGTTAAGTTGACTGATTGTCAGACAACAGAGAATATTGGAGTCTTCAAATTGGAAAGCATACCTACTGTGCTATTTAAAGGGTGAAGCCACCACATGAGCATTGAAAACTGGAACCATACAGTAACACAAGTCCCACTTCTTGCAAAATGTTCTAGAGACACAGCAAATAGAAGCTATAAGCACTTTGTGGGCCCAACAAAGACACCTAGAGGTTGTATATAACTTAAAGTCTCCTACATGGCCTCCTTCTCTCTAGACATTTAAGCTATTGTACTTATGAGGCACCAGCAAGTGAAGGGACACTAGAAATGGACAATCCAGGAATTTTGTAAAGGTATCTTTCTAAATCTCAACTTTCTTCCATTTTAAACTTACTAATTCCTTCTACCTCCATATGCTCACTTGTCAAATCCATTGTCATGTATTTCTCAGATTTCTCTCCATGCTCTTGAAGGCACAATCTGGCCTCTCAGTTTGATCTTATTCTATGGTCTTTACTCCATAAAGGAATCAACTGTCCCTTTCTCTTTCAACTTTGTTTGAGGGGATATGCTATCGTAGACCCCACTGGAATCAACTATGACAATCACCTCCTCAGACCTGCTAGGTTTTCTTGAAGGTCAGGAATTATTTGGATTTCCCAGAGAGTTGTTTTGCTTGCTATTGTTACCACTGTTGTTTATGATCATACACTCTGCACATTTTCCCATTTTTGAAATTGAACAAATTCAGTATTAGCCGTTATTTCTCAATAAATACAATGTTACTACATTAGAAGATATTCTAAAAACATGGTGACCATGTAGAAAAACAGCAACAAAAATGTTCCAATTCAAAAAATAAAATGTTCCTCCCCTTGGAAGGGAAAAAATAATCACTGTGCCAGGTTATCACTAAGGATCCTTTAATTTTTGACTTTTCATGATTTTCTCATTCACTGCAATTTATTCTTATCAGCAACTTACGAGGTTCCCTTGGATAGAAAAATGGCATGCACCACGGTAGGATTATTTCCTCTTCCCATTTGATTATGAATTTTGTTATCACAGTGTAAGCAAATTCTACACTAAGCCTTGTGATCTGAAGATGGATAATAAGAATCAGAAAATCAATACTTAGTAAAATAATTTAGCAAAAAAAAACAATAAATTTTTGTATTTGAAGATTCACTTAGTTGTTTGTCTCTCCTTATGAAATTACTTTTGTTCAAGGCCTACTGTGCAGAGAAGGCCTTAGGGAAATAAAGTGGCACATTTTTCATTGTCTTCAAATCTATTTTCTGCTTGAATGGAGTCAGCATTAAATTTAAAGCAAGAAAATCACTCGTTGATGGAAGTCTTAGCATACAAAGCATGGTAGAAAGTTCCACTCACTTCTGCTTGGTCACTCAAGGGCACATATCCTGACCACATAAACATCAGGGATGTGATTTAACACAGCTTGAACACCTAACCTGTACCACAAAAAGAGGAGATTCTTATTTTAAGAACAAGGAATATTGCTATTTTTCAGTAATCTGGTAGAACAAAGAGCCTCACCTTTTCTATGTGAGAGACCTGGCTTTAAATCTGTGCTCTTATACTTATTAGCCATGTGATCTTAGATAACACACTGAACGTCACTGAATATTTTGACTCCTATAATCCCTGGTATTTCTATTATATTAGCATTTGTTTGCACATATACAATTTTTATTGCAAAAAGATTAAGTAAAATCTTTTTCTAAATTTCCAGTATTATATTCTGTGCCCTCAGAGTCCATAACATGTCTGTTCTCACCCCATAATACTTTATCCTACACAAATACCCCTTGAATTTCTAGAGCTAGTAGTCTATTTATCAGATAGTGACCTACATAAATCCAGTGTCTGTTTTTTTACATATCCATTTCCCTAAATTAAAGGACCTCTGGAAATTAGTTGTTCCTTAATAATTATTGATTCTTCTCCTTCTTAGTCCATTTAAATATAATATAGTTGTCCCTTGGTATCCATGAGGGATTGATTTCAGGACACTTCATGGATATTATATTATGCAGATGCTACAGATCCTTATATAGAATGGAGTAGTAATTGCATATAACCTACACATATTCTTCTGTATACTTTAAATCATCACAAGATTACTTATAATACTAATGTAATGTAAATGCCATGTAAATAGTTGTCATACTACGTTGTTTAGGGGACAGTGACAAGGAATATGTGTTTACCTGTTCAGTACAGAAACAACCATTCTTTTAAACTTTTCAAACATTTTTTTATCCATGGCTGATTGAATCCACTGATGCAGAGTGCATGGCTATGGAGGGCCAACTGTATACAGTAGTACTGCCTTATCCATGGTTTTGTTTCCCATGATTTTAGTTTCCCCTGGTCAACTGTGATCTGAAAATATTAAATAAAAAATATCAGAAATAAACAATTTATACATTTTAAAGTGCACGTCATTCTGAGTAGCTTGATGGAATCTTACACTATCCAGCTCCATCCTGCCTGGGATGTGAATAATCTCTTTGTCCAATGTTTCCATGAGGCAGATGTGACTTACCCATTAGTGATTGACATCATCTGTTCCTGATATCCAACTATCAACATCTTCATGGCTCCATGATCCAGGATCATCTGAAGCAAAGGATCCTCCTTTGGCTGTATCCCCGGAAGGTCAATAGTAGCCTAATATTATGTCACAATGCCTGTATCATTCACCTCATTCATCTTATCGTCACAGGCACTTTATCATCTCACACCATCACAAGAAGAAGAAAAGAAAATATGACTAAATTATTTTGAAAGACCACATTTTCATGATGTTTATTACAGTATATTATTATAATTTTCTATTTTATTATTAGTTATTGCTGTTAATCTCTTGTTATGTCTAATTTATAAATTAAACTTTATCATGGTGCATATGTATAGGAAAAAGTAATATATATAGAATTTGGTACTATTCCTTGTTGCAGGCATCCAGTGGGGGTGTTAGAACATATCACCCATGGATAAAAGAGGACTACTATGTGTTCAGTAAATGTAGACAATTTCAAAGTAATATTATCTGCAGATTATATCTAGCTTTGGAGTTCTCTGCTTAAAAGAAAGGTGAGAGAAATAATTCAAAAAGTTGAACAGCATTTTATGTTAGAGAAAGAGCTGTAAACAAGCTAGTTGTTACTAAACAGTGTCTCAGGTTGATGGCTCAGTTTTTTTCTCCTTTTAACTGTGTTCATTTCTCAGAGTAATACGTGTTGCTGGAGGGACAGAAAGGTCATATGTAGCATGAGACATATGTCACCTCCTGTGTCATTACTAGGAGAGTTTACTTTGCCTTGTTTACCTCTTGACAAGCTCCTACTTATTTTCCAATTCTCACTCAAGTAAACTTGTTTCGAGGGTAAAATTCAGGGAGCAGTTCTAGAGGAAGTAAGAAGGCAGCATGGATGGTTTTCAAACAATTGTGCATGTGAAATTCTTTCCATGGGCGAATATTCAGCTTTGTATCCTGCTTTTGAGTGTAATTCATCCAGCTGAGTGACTGCATTGCAAAAATGAGGCCCAGGGAAATGCAATTTGTCTCTTTGCTTAACCCAATATTCTGGTTAACAAAGTTGTTTGATAAACAGTGAATGTTAAATTTTGATTAAGAAGAGAGGCAAATACAAGTAGAAGAGAGAATAACATGATTGAGATTTATTCACCAACTCAGCTAATATTTAATAAGCAATTATTTTATACCATACACATAATTGCTGGAATTTTGGTCCATGCTGTGATGACAAAAATTGTCTAGTTAAAAGAAGAAAGATAACTATGCCAATAATTAAAAATAATTATAAATTGGAAGAGTTGATATAAAGGAAATACATAAAGAATGTAATAACTAACGACATGAGGGAAAGGTAAGGAGAAGAAAGTTCATAGCAGGCCTCTTTGATGCAGTGAAATTTGAGTTCAGCCCTGAAAAATAAAATATTTCTGCTTTGATAAAAATGAAATAACAAGGACTACATTTACCTTTGACCTAAAATAACAACAAAAATCATAAAAAGCAAAATAGATATAGCAACGGTTTTTCATGACATGGGACATCAGGTAACAAAGGCATCAAAAACATCAGGCCTGAGAGATGGCAAACCAACTCAGCAAGTTCTACTATGAGCCTACCTTACTGCCTTTTGAAAGTTTCCTGGCAGCAATGTACATAGTAAAGGCCAGGCTGCTTGCAGCTATCCCCCTGAATTGGGGAGACAAGGCCAAGAACGTGAGATCCGTTGATAGACAGAGTTCCCAGAACCAAGGAACAGAAGAGATAGCTTCACTCAGAGAAAATTATATGTATCTGTAAAGCATCCTCATTAAGTATCAGAGCATCTATGAGTTGCAACAACCTGAGACCAGGGAAAGAACTACCCAGAAATGTGAAAGGTAATAGTGTTGGCACTTATAGAGAGCTGGAAATAGTGCTTTTTCCCAATAGCCATACTGGAAAACTTTACAATTCATGGAACACTGGGTACAATACACAGGGGAATAGCCCTAGACTGAGCACTGATACATTCCCACATAAGAAATGGTAAAAGTAAGACCTGGAAGGACATATGTAAGCATTTCCACATTCCATAACTGTGTCCCAGAACAAGATTTAACAATATTTACAAGAATATAGAAGTAGCCAGCACATACATAGTAAAATTTACAATGTCTGACATACAATAAAAGGTTATTAGGCATATTAGACATGCAAATAAGTAGAAAATATGACTATAACGAGAAGATAAGTAAATTAATTGACACTGACCCAGAAAGCACACAGGTGTTAGAATTAGTAGAAAAGAAGATTAAGATGATTTTCATAACTATTTTATATGTGCCAAAAAATAAGTGGAAACAAAGAAGTTATAAAAAAAGAGAAGTCAAGGGCGGGCGCGGTGGCTCACGCCTGTAATCCCAGCACTTTGGGAGGCCGAGGCAGGTGTATCATGAGGTCAGAAGGTCGAGACCATCCTGGCTAACAGTGAAACTCCGTCTCTACTAAAAATACAAAAAATTAGCCAGGCATGGTGGCGGGCACCTGTAGTCCCAGCTACTCGGGAGGCTGAGGCTGGAGAATGGCGTGAACCCGGGAGGCGGAGCTTGCAGTGAGCCGAGATTGCGCCACTGCACTCCAGCCTGGGTGACAGAGCCAGACTCCGTCTCAAAAAAAAAAAAAAAAAAAAAAAAGTCCAATTTCTAGAGATTAAAATTATAATTTCTATGAAGAAATATACACTGAATGGGAGTTATGGAAGATACAATATTGCAGAAATATAAATAGTGAATTTGAAGGTATAGCAATAACAATCATAAAAAACGAAACAAATATAAAATTAAAATGAAAGAAAAGATAATCTATGAGTTGTGAGATAGGTTCAAATGACCTAATGTACATGTAGTTACAATTCTGAAAATGCAGACAGACAAGAGAAAACTGGCTTCAAAAACATGATGAATGAATAATCTCGAAATTAGTTTAAAATAAAAATAGATCCTAAAATCTCAATAAGCCCCCAGCACTAAGCCCCACAGTAATTGAATTGCTCAAAACCAGTGATAAAACAAAATACTTAAAGGTACACATTATGGGCCGATGTAGTGGTTCAAACCTGTAATCCCAGCGCTTTGTGAGGCCGAGGCAGGCAGATTACTCGAGGTCAGGAGTGCGAGACCAGACTGGTCAACATGTTCCCTGTCTCTCCTAAAAATACAAAAATTAACCAGCCTTGGTGGTGTGCACCTGTAATCCCAGCTACTGGGGAGGCTGAGGCAGGAGAATCGCTTGAACCTGGGAGGTGGAAGTTGCAGTGAGCCAAGTTCACACCACTGCACTCCAGCTTGGGTGACAAAGCAGGATTCTGTCTCAAGTTAAAAGGAAGGGAGGGAGGGAGGGAGGAAGGAAGGAAGGTAGGAAGGGGAAGGGAAAGGGAAGGGAAGGGAAAGGAAAGGAAAGAAAGAGGGAGGGAGGGAGGGAAGAAAAAAGAAAGAAAGGAAAGAGAGAGAGAGAAAGAAAAAGAAAAAAGAGAAAGAGAAAGGTAAAAATGGACAGCAGAAACTTTGTTGGAAATAAGATAAGCAAGAAGATAGTGAAGCGACATATTTAAAGTGCTAAAAGAATAAAACTATCAACTTAGAATTCTTTTCCCAGCAATCATATCTATGAAGATAGAGATGAAATCAATACTTTTTCTGACACACTAAAGAAAAATTAATTAATCACTAACAGACCCACATTTCAAGAAAGGTTAAAAAGTTATCCTTCAGACAGTAGAAAAATCATTTAATCTAAAAATCTACATTTACGCAAAAGAACGAAGAGTAACTACAAAAGTAAATATATAAGATATTTTCTATTATTTTAATCTCTTTAAAAGATAATTGAGTGTTTTTACAAAAATAATTTAGTGGGGATGTTTATTTACATATATAACAGCAAATTCTGTGACTGTAACAGCACAAATTTCAGGAGAAATGAAAGGGGACTTCAACAAGTTTGTGAAAAATTAAATGAAAAGAGAAAATAAAATACATAAACTTTACTTCTCAATACAAGCTCTATCACGGTCAAGACACTTTTGTAAGTTATAATACTAGCCATTTAGTCCATCCCTAGAGAACTGAGGGTACTAGGAATTTAATCATGTCAACATAGTATTTTTTATTTTATACACTGAAAATAAATGGGTGGCCTTTAAAGAATTTTTTAAGATTAGGAAACAAAACGATGTCAGAAGGAGCCAAATCAGGACTGTGAGGTGAGCGCCTACTGGTTTTCCTTTAAAACTGTCACAAAACTGCCCCTTTGATGAGCCAGGAGCATTGTTGCAATGGAGAAGGGTTCTCTAGTAAAATTTTCTCAGGTGCTTTTCTGTTAAAGGTTTGGCCAACTTTCTCAAAACACTCTCATAATAAGCAGATGTCATTGTTCTTTGGCCCTCCAGAAGTTCAACAAGTGACATACCTTGAGCATCCCAATAAACTGTTGCCATGATCTTTGCTCTTGACCATGTCACTTTTGCTTTGACTGGACCACTTCCACATCTTGATTTCCATTGCTTTGACTGTGCTTTGTCTTCATGATTGTACTAGTAAAGGTATATTTCATCTCTTGTTACAATACTTTGAATTAATTCTTCAGGATCTTGATCCCATGTATTTAAAATTTCCATTGAAAGCTCTCCTTTTGTCTGTGGCTCATCTAGGTGCAATGGTTTTGGCACCCATTGGGTAGAAAGTTTGCTCAACTATAATTTTACAGTCAAAATTGTGTACACTGAACTAATTGAGATATCTACGGTGTGAGCTATTGTTTGTGCTGTTAACCTTCAGTCTTCTTCAATTAGGGCATGATTAAATTGAACTTTTTCTTTGAAAATGGATGTGGATTGTCTGCTTCTGTAGACTGCATTTTCAACATTGTCTCATCCCTTCTTAAAATGAATTATCCATTTCTTTGGAGCATTGTTGCAACATAAAATTTTAATAAAGCATCAGTAATTTCACCATTTTTCATCCCAAGCTTCACTATAAAATTGGTGTTTGTTTTTGCTTCAATTTTAGTAGAATTCACATTGCTTAGGTAGGAGCTCTTTTTACACTGATGTCTTCTTATGACCTCAAGTTAGATCTTGTGTAGACACATTACAAAAGGAAGTATGAGTTTATTTTGGTACAAAAAATTTTAAATCCATGCATAGTTTTTTATAATATGTTCTTTTCATGAACTTTCTGAAGACCCCCCAATATACTATGATAAGTTTCTTATATTATGCATGAAGTGATATTATATTACTCTAAGATATATTTTGAAAGGCTATGATGGAGGCTATAAACCCTAAAGCAACCACTAAGTTAATTAAACAAGGAATTGCAGCTAATAAACCAAAAAAGGAGATAAAATAGAGTCATAAAAATTTGAAATCATTCAAAGAAGGCAGGTAAAGATTAAAGAAACCATAGGACAAATAAAAAGCTAGAAATAAAATGATAGCCCTAAAACTAATCACACAACTAAATGCAAATAGCAAATATCCCATTAGATTTTTTTTAAAAACCTGCAAGACCCACCAACATGCTAGCTGAAAGAAATTATCTTTAAAAAGACAAAATTAGGTTACAACTAAAAGAATGGAAAGAGATATACCATGCTAATATTTATCAAAATAAAGTTGGATATCATATTATATAATAGTAATATTTGACAGTATATTTTGGAGCAAATATGTTACTATGGACAAAGATGATCATTTAATAATTATAAAGGAGGCAGGCCTTCAAGAGACTATAACAACCTTAAATATTTATGTACCTAATAACAGAGATTTAAAATGCACAAGTCACAAACCGATAAAACTGCAAAGAGAAATAGACAAATGCACAGTCAGATATTGCAGTATATATCTCTCAGTAATTGATAAGAAAAATACACAGAACATCTGTAAGGATTAAGATTTAGACAACACTTTCATTTGCCTTGACCTAAATGACATTTATGGAACAATCTTTTCTAAAACATGAAGGGGTGATACCCAACAAACTCCAAGACAAAATATCTAATGAAGACCAAAAAAAAAAAATACAATTTTGAATTATTCAAGCCTCTTCCAGCATTAACTTTTACATGCCTGTACTCCTGAAGTAGTCTCTTACTTGGACTCTCTGGGCTTTTCTCATTTGAATCCTTCTTTTGCATCTCTCTCCAAAGATTATCTTCTAACGTCTTTGGTTTTTCAGTTCTCTCTCCGCATACACTGAAGAGATTTGTTCTAGAGCCAGGTGCTGGAAGTTCCATTCATCTACATTACTCAAGGGTCTGACTATATTCCTCATGGACTTCCAACATTACTCCTCTGGTCCTACCAGATTCTGCCATATTCTAAGTAAATTATGTTAATCCTTGAGAGCCAAGACCTTTTCCCCAATTCTTCTTTTCACACTCCTCTTCTCATCACCTCCATGAAATCTTTAATTCTAAAATAGCATCTGTGTACATTTAAGTCCATTCCACATGATTTATATTGAAGTAAAATAATCACATTCCATTTCCCATGACCAAGATATAAGAAATCTGATTTCGAGGGAAAAGTGTTTGAGTAAATATAGTTCAAAAGCTTACTAAGTATAAAAGAAAAATAAATAAGAACTTTGAATACTTCTTACCTGGGATTTGAGGATGCTGTAAAGTGAGATCAATTATTCAAAATTAGTATGTTAACCTAGGAATACAGCTAACGAGGGATGTGAAGGACCTCTTCAAGGAAAACTGCAAACCACTGCTCAAGGAAATAAGAGAGGACACAAACAAATGGAAAAATATTCCATCCTCATGGATAGGAAGAATCAGTATCTTGAAAATGGCCACACTGCCCAAAGTAATTTACAGATTCAAAGCTATTCCTATCAAACTACCATTGACATTCTTCACAGAATTAGAAAAAAACTATTTTAAATTTCTTGTGGAATCAAAGAAGACCCCATATAGCCAAGACAATCCTATGCAAAAAGAACAAAGCTGGAGGCATCACGCTACCTGACTTCAAACTATACTACAAGGCTGCAGTAACCAAAACAGGATGATGCTGGTACCAAACAGACATATAGACCAATGTAGCAGAACAGAGACCTCAGAAATAACACCACACATCTACATCCATCTGATCTTTGACAAACCTGACAGAAATAAGCAATAGGGAAAGGAACTCCTATTAAGTAAATGGTGCTGGGAAAAATTGCTAGCATTATGCAGAAAACTGAAACTGGACCCATTCCTTACATCTTATACAAAAATTAACTCAAGATGGATTAAAGACTTAAATGTAAAACCCAAAACCATAAAAACTCTAGAAGAAAACCTAGGCAATACCATTCAGCACATAGGCATGGGCAAAGACTTCATGACAAAAACACCAAAAGCAATCGCAACAAAAGCCAAAATTAATAAATGGGATCTAATTAAACTATAGAGCTTCTGCACAGCAAAAGAAGCTATCATCAGAGTGAACAGGCAACCTACAGAATGGGAGAAGATTTTTGCAATCTACCCATCTGACAAAAGTCTAATATCCAGAATTTACAAGGAACTTAAACATATTTACAAGAAAAAAACAACCTTATCAAAAAGTGGGCAAAGAATATGAACAGACATTTCTCAAAAGATGACATTTATGTGGCCAACAAACATATGAACAAAAGTTCAACATCACTGATCCTTAGAGAAATGCAAATCAAAACCACAATGAGATACCATCTCATGCCAGTCAGAATGGCGATTATTAAAATGTCTAGAAACAATAGATGCTGGCGAGGCTGTGGAGAAATAAGAACACTTTTACACTATTGGTGAGAATGTAAATTCGTTCAACCATTGTGGAAGACAGTACGGTGATTCCTCAAGGATCTAGAAGCAGAAATATCATTTGACCCAGCAATCCCATTACTGGGTATATACACAGAGGAATATAAATCATTCTACCATAAAGACACATGCACACGTATGTTTATTGCAGCACTATTTATAATAGCAAAGTCATGGAACCAAGTCAAATGCCCATCAATGATAGGCAGGATAAAGAAAATGTGGCACATATACACCATGGAATACTATGGAGCCATAGAAAGGGACAAGATTATGTCCTTTGCAGGGACTTGGATGAAGCTGGAAGCCATCATCCTCAGCAAACTAACACAGGAACAGAAAAGCAAACACCGCATGTTCTCACTCATAAGTGGAAGTTGAACATTGAGAACACATGGTCACAGAGAGGGGAACAACACACACCAGGGCCTGTTGTGGGGTGGGAGTTGAGGGGAGGTAACTTAATGGATGGGTCAATAGATGCAGCAAACCACCTTGGCACATGTATATCTATGTAACAAACCTGCACGTTCTGCACATGTATCCCATTTTTGTTTTTAGAAGAAATTAAAAAATAATAATAATAAAACCCAAAATTAGTATGTTAGAGACATACCCAGTGGTCATGATATTCTGACAGACATTTACATAGGTGTGTACATTTGTGTGCGTATATGCATATGTATATATTAGATAAATCCAAGTTCTGTTGTACATAGACTATAAGTACTTGTGTGAGTCATTTAACTTCCCTGATCCACAGTTACTACAGCTATAAAATGAGCATAACTCCTGCGATGCTGCCCTCATGGGATTGTTATGAGAGATATAACAGAAATAGGACATGAACGGTCTTTGAAAATATGCTCTTTTTTACATGCATGAGAGATTTTTATTGTGTGTATATTTGAAATATAATGAAAGTAATAAGGTAGTGAATTTCAAAATTTTATTTGTAAAACTTAGATATCAAACTAGATGATAATTAATCAAAATGTTCCCAATCTGTCAGTGGTTTATATGAGAGTATTTAGGTTCCTATCCTGGTTATACCTTTTATTGTTTTTGTATTTCACTACCAATTATTGTTTATCGATTTTAAGCTAGTTACTTAACTTCTCTGAACCTTAGTTTCAACATGAGTTGAAGGTAATAAAAATATCTGGTTCAAGAATATTTGTGAGAATTAAATGAGATAATGTAAGAATCACCCCTACAGGATATACACAACTTAATGGGCTTCATATGTAGATATATAGACAAAGGCACAGAGCATGTGGAAATGTAAATTATCTAGCACATTTTCTTGATCATATTAGACCCTTAATTCATTTTGTAATACTATGGTTCTCACTGTTGCCCCCAAGAAACATTTGCCAATATATGGAGATATTTTTGTATCACAGGCAGGGGCAGAAGGGTGCTAGTGGCATCTAGTGGGTAGAGGTTAAAGATGCTGCTAAAAATGCTACAATGCACAGGATAGCCCCTTGCAACAAATTATTCAGCCCAAAATATCAATAGTGCAGAGGTTGAGAAATCCCATTGCAACGAATAAATAAAGCAGCTATGCAAGCTTCTGTTCCCCATATATGTACAGCTTCTAACAAATGAAAAATTTATGTATGCAGAGAGAGAGAAAGAGAGGGAGAAAGAGAGGGAGAGAAAGTAAAGTAGAAGCATACGTTTTGTTATTTACTTTGTCTCTTTTGTTTGCTTATATTTTTTTGGTGGGCTATTCTTTAGTTTTGTCATGGTTAGTGGTCAGCAGGGTCCAATAAAGCAGCCACATCTTATGCAGAAGCTGTGACTACTGTCGTAATAAAACTGGAACATTGTGCCCAGCATGGTGACATTATTCCTGATTCATTTTCCCCTGTATCTTTTTTCTTGGAAGATACTTAAATTATTTCTTAGAGACTTTCTGTTCTGCCTCCATAAACTAAATCAAAATATAGGCTGGTTTGGGGTAGAGATAGGCAGCCTTCTCAGTTTTGAATTCTATTCCTAAAGACACTAGCAGGATTACAACTTTCGACTCTGATTGGTAGGATCATTAATATCCTTTGTAGGCTAATTTCATCAAAATTAAGAAATTAAAATGAAAAACAACCCTGAAAATGTATCACAAATTCTCGTATTCCACATCTAGACGAATAACAATTTCTGGTTGCGTGAGATAGATACCAGATTGTCAATGATAATCCCAGATTCTAAATCCTGTGCACACGACCCATGAAGAGATGCCTGATCTCATTATAAATCAGGTTATTGCTCCTCCGACGAGAATTCATTCAGGTGTGGCAGCACAAATGAACAGAGGTTCAAAGTCACGAAGACAAGTGACAACGCTGCATTTTTAGGGCAATAAACATTACACGAATGGCATGAGAACAGGTATCTAGATGAAAACAGTGGAAGCGTGATCCTGGAAAGAAAGCAGGAAGGTTATTTTATGTCATGTTTTCGTCAGGGAAGTCATCTGGCTATCTTATTATATTTTATGGCAGCAGTAGGGATAGAGAAAAGATTGATTAGCCATGAGGTGGGAACTCACAGTGTTTGTCAAGCATAGTTAATTATTAATAATACTTGGGTGGCTACTTAAGATGAAACGATGGACTTCCCATTGTTCTTAGAGTAAAAGCCAAAATCCTTTATATGATTTGCAAGGGTAGCTTTCTTTCAATGCTGTGCATCTTGCCCTCCACAACTAGGGCCTTTTCTTAAGCTCTTCTTTCAGGCAAAGTATTCATGAAATAAGCTCCTATTTATTCTTCAGATTGTGGCTTAGAATCTACCTGAACATCTTCTCTGATTCCTAAAAATAGTATACGTATCTCTCCTTTATATTACCTATTAAATTTTAATACTATATTAATCAATGCAGTAATTTGGTGAATCACCTACATGTTATATAATAAAGGCAGAGGCTACAACAATCTTAGCTGATCAGTTTATCACCAATGTCTATACATAGTACCTGCTCTTTATTGGGCCCTCAGTAAATACATTTGAAATAAAGAAATAAATAAGTGAATGAACATATGAGTCTACACACCCTTTGTGTTTTCTCAGGCCATTCTAGGCACAGAAAAATATGACAAAATGTGTAAACTGTATTTTTGTGGAAGTATCTCACAAGCTAGTAGGGGCTCTGATATGTGAACATACAAAGCAAAAATAAATATGAAAATAAATAGATATAAGAACAGTGAAGCAGGAGTATGTATAGATATTTGCACCCCTCATCCCCCAGGGAGCAAGGTGTGCATCATCTTCTACCAATTTCAATTTGTGTATCACATTCCAATAAAACCATTCTTCTGTTGTTATTTTTCTTTCAAACAGAACAAATTTGGTTCATTTTAGATCTTTCGTATTCCTATATCACGCTTTTGAAATCTCTGTCTCTCCCACTCTAGCTCCCTTCACTCATTCAGTTCAAGAAAAGGTTCCTAAAAGTTGCCTCCCTAGGCCAGGCACGGTGGCTGACACCTGTAATCCCAGCACTTTGGGAGGCTGAGGCGGGCAGATAACGAGGTCGGGAGTTTGAGACCGGCCTGATCAACATGGTGAAACCCCGTCTCTACTAAAAATACAAAAAATTAGCCGGGCATGGTGGCGCGTGCCTGTAATCCCAGCTACTCAGGAGGCTGAGGAAGGAGAATTGCTTGGACCTGGGAGGTGGTGGTTGCAGTGGGCCGAGATCACGCCACTGCACTCCAGCCTGAGCAACAGAGCGAGACTCCGTCTCAAAAAAAAAAAAAGTTGCCTCCCTAACAACCAAGTTTATGACACTCATCCCTTTTCCCTGGCATTTTTACATTATAACCTTGGTTTTATTATTGTACTCAATATTATCTTAAAATACATTCTTACTTATTTGTTAATTTTTAATTTTTCTAGCCTTTAAGATATAAATGCCATGGGAGAAAAAAAAAGCTTTTTTGTGTGTCTTTTTTTTTTTTTTTTTTGGCATTTTTCTTCCTGACATCTCAAAGAGAGCCAAGGACCTAGAAAACACCCTCAAATATTTTTCGACTGAGTATATGGATTGAGAAAAGATGAATGCATAAGTTAGGAAACTATAGAAATTCTAAAATTTAGATTTGATCTTGCAGGGTGAAAATGGTTTCCTATTCAAAAAGAGAGAGCTAAATCTGAAGCAGAAAAAAAAAGATATACACTGAGTCACTGAGGCATAAAGGAAGTTATGATATATTAGAGGATTGTTGTTGTTGTTGTTGTTAAGCAGGGAAGCATCCCACTTGTCTTGATCAGGGGCCAGAGACAAGGCTACACAAGTAGAAAGGTGAGGGTAGGGCAGATTATGGAAAAACCTCAAAGTTAATGAATGTATCTTCTCTTCTCTAAGCAATAGGAAGTCACAGAAGGCATTTAGACTGCTAAATGAAATGATGCATTTTGCATTTTAGGAAGATCAATTCAGCAGTTGGATGGAAATGAAATGGAGGAGAAGGTGGCTGCTAGCCAAGACACCAGCTAGAAGACTGTTGCCAAAGTCTAGGGCATATTTCTAAAGTGCCTCCTTTAAGACTAGCAGTTTTGTTTTCCTTAAAATATAGACCTGACAATATTTAGTATTATGATCAGCCTTAAAAATGTATCCCTCTCATACTATTTTGTTTCTTTTATTTTTAATGCATTTAATAGCTTTTATTCCAAGTTTATAAATGTAGGAGAATGCAAAGAGACAAAAAAGGATCAGAGACTTTTTAAAGCCTATTCTATTTAATATGCATGTTATCAAAGGTTAAGCTATATAAATGCATTCATAAATAAAGGATAAAGAGAGACCAAGGTAATACACAAACAAAGGCTAAAGCCAGGGTGTAAGGAGGCCAAGAGAAGGTCAATATTACCATATGAGACTTAAGTAGAGATTATAGGATGGCATACACAAAGAAAAAACAGTAATATTAAAATTAAGAGCACTGGTAGGTATCAGAGGACAAAGATGGTCATGAGGGCAAAGATGTTGATACAAATGCAACAACATGCATGAACCTGGAGGGCATTATACTAAATGGAATTAGCTAAACATGGAAATACAAATACTGCATGATCACACTTATATGTGGAATAAAAAAAAAGAAAATTCAAACTCATAGTAACAAAGTGGAATAGTGGTTATCAGGAGCTGAGGGAGAGAGAAAAGTGCAAATATTGGTAAAGGTACAAATTTTCAGTTAAGTTCTGGAGACATAATGTACAGCATGGTGACTGTAATTAATAATAATTCTTGAAATTGTTAAGAGAGTAGATCTCATGTTCTCACTGTGTAAACACACATGTATGTGCACACATACAAATGGTAGGTAAGTGAGGTGACGGATATGTTAGCTTGATTGTGGTAGCCATTTCACAATGAATATATATGTCAAAACAACACATTTTTACACTTTAAATGTATTTTTATCAATCATATCTAAATAAAGCTGGAAGAAAACAGTGTAATGAGCCAGGGACTCAGCTCCATCCAGTCTCCAGTTCTAACTGTGGTCCTCACTAGCAGTGTAACACTGCGTGAGAATACTACTTTCTCTCCCTAGAATTTACTTCTTTTCTCTCTTAAAATAAAGCATTGGTCTCAAGGTGCTATTAAAATTAGGGGTTCCCTGCTTTCTAAAAGACTGCTAGCTAAAATTAGAGCTAGAGGTATGAAAACCACATGCATCATTTCAGGACTCTAAAAGGAGTTCTACGTTTTCTGATGAAAATGCTACAGCAGGTATTGCAACATCAGAGTCCCATTTTATGTCTGAAAATATGACTCATTGTAGTCATTTTGCATTGTTGATAGTTCTGATTAGTGATTATATATTTTGTGTTCATAAAAATTGAAACATTACTGCTGTCTTCAGGTGATTTATTTTGCAGACAAAAGTTTATCATACATGGACCAAAAAGGAAACATAAATAACTGAAAAGATGCCCAAGAGACAGGCTCAGATTTTCAGTGCCAAATGATGAATGACGATCATTCCAGCTATTTTACCTGTTTCCTTCTCATAATGTTTGGGTAAGAAAAACAACAGAGTTTTCATTTGATAGCCTCAAAGAAGCCCCTGTCAGAATATTTCCTTAGCCAGATCCATGAGGCGTTATTATTATGAAATGTTAATTTGTGATAGGCAAAAACATAACTAGGAATCTTGGGGCTCTTTTGTCGTTCTTTCCCCTGAAGTTTCCTATGGGTGGTCTCTGGGATTATAGGAGCTCTGCGTGAGTTTCTCTTAGGCTTTCGGAACTAATTTGTTGACTTTATGGATGAGATAAAATATTCTATTTCCAAAATTTCTCATTTTCCCCAGTGGTGGAAAATGAGTTACTTGGCAAAAGAGCCTATTTTCCTTTTGATAGAAAATAATTTAGAGCATGTAGAAATGTTGGTCTTTGGGAAAGCAAATTTAGAAAGTGTATCTTGGGCATTGCAGGACACTATTTGAGGAACAAATAGAACCTGATAAACTAGAAAAACGTGGAGAGGCAGGGCCGGGCGCCGTGGCTCACGCCTGTAATCCCAGCACTTTGGGAGGCTGAGGCGGGAAGATCACGAGGTCAGCAGATCCAGACCAGCCTGGCTAACACAGTGAAACCCCGTCTTTACTAAAAATACAAAAAATTAGCCGGGCGTGGTGGCAGGCGCCTGTAGTCCCAGCTACTCGGGAGGCTGAGGCAGGAGAATGGCGTGAACCCGGGAGGCGGAGCTTGCAGTGAGCTGAGATTGCACCACTGCTCTCCAGCCTGGGTGACAGAGCGAGACTCCGCCTCAAAAACAAAAACCAAAAAAAAACGTGGAGAGGCATTAATTGGCATGAGAACATGCTCAAGTGCCGTCTGAGGAGTGGCCTGGTGTTACATATGCAGGATCAACACATATTGGACTCTTTTGGAATCATCCTGGTTTATTCCTTCTCTCAAAATCTGACTATTATTAGGGCCTTCACACACTTCAAGAAGGGTCCTAATTTGGATGATATACTAAATATGCACCCTATATACATGGGATTAGGTGCAGGAATGAGGTAATTTTGAAGTGTCTTCAATCGTCTGGGGTAATACCCGAGGTTTGTTGCCTCACGCCAAGGAAATCAAGAACACAGACACACAAGACGTGAGTTTAAGAGTGGAAGTTTAACAGGCAAAAGAGGAAAGCTCCCTCGTGCAAAGGGAGGGGGTTCTGAGCAGATCTTCCCGTTAGTGGGGAGATGTAGTTGATTTTATAGATGAGCTTGAGGAGGCAGTGTCTGATTTACATAGGGCACAAGGGATTGGTTGGACCAGGTGTGCCATTTACATAGTGCTTGAGGAAGCTGGCCACTCTCCCCTAGTCTTTTATTATGCAGATAGGTTCTCTACCTGGCCGGAGCCATGTTGTCTGCTTCTTTACTGCACACTTGGCAACAAACAAAAGGGAAGAATGAGCCTCCATGTTGAACATACCTGGCTTCCAGGTATCCCTTTTCTGTTGGCGCAGCTGCTGGCATTTACTTATGCAAGCTTCCTGCTTGCTTAGCTATGTTTGCAGCTTGATTTTTCAGGCTGCTTTTTGTTAGAAAAGAAATTACTTTGGGGCTGCTTTTTATTAAAAGGAAATTTCACAAAGGTCTCTCTTACCCTCACTATCTGCCTAAATAATTTTTTTAAGCCCTTGTATCAATTTCACAGGCTTCCCACAGCTTGTACTTCAAAACTTGGGTATATCTATTAGGGGCCATATCTCTGTTGTTTGTCACCTTTAGGGTGGTAGCTAACTCTACCTCTTTAATTCACCTGATGCTGATGTTTCATACCTGAGAATTTGATTTGATTTGCCAGATCTAGATTTGGAAAGGGGTTTCCTCTTTTTTTCCACCAAGTAAATAGGAAGAGAAGGGTGGTTACTTTCTCTAGCAAATATTCAATATTTACTATTTGTTCTTCACATTGTTTTTTCTTGGCCCAGCTCTGGTTAGTTATTGTGGAACTGCATGGGTATGGATACCAATTTCCGCCTGTTTTAGACCGTCAGTTTCTTGTTAACACTTTCTAGTGGAGAGTTAGACTTTGGATCTCAACTCTAAAACTGATTTATTCTATCAGTTATTTACCCCTTCACCAGCTGTATTATACTAGAACATCATCAGTTTTAAGTAATGTTCCATTATTTCAACTCCAAAAAGAAAATAGTGTGATATGACATTTTGGGGGGAAAAAAAATAAAAATGTGGGCCAATCACTCACCATAGTACATGACATAAGTAGATATTGATTAAATGTTAGTTCTAATTTTTCCTAATTCAAAAATGCCAAATAGGAAAAAAGAGATCAGGGAATTGACATGTGGCTACTCAGCTTTTGACATTCCTGACTTAAAATATCAGAGTAAAAGAAAAATACCTAGGGTATCATATAAATCGGGCTAGAATCTGATTTTTTGTTTCCTATGATGGCATGATCAAAATATTGGGATATTGGAGAGGCTTGGATTATGTATAAAATGAACATAGCTAAATGATTTGTTAAAGAAAATGTATGTGAATTGTCAGACACATAACATTTGCATAAGATATTTTTCATTTTGCTTTCCTCATTACAGAAAACACACAGGATTTGGAGTAAAAAGTGTGATGCCTTACAAAGCAGAAATCCAGAATATTTAATGCCCCTGCATTTGGTACATTCTAATTCAGTAAGGTGTCCTGCGGTCTACAGAAACTTCTTCATTATCTTAAGAAGAGTGCATTTTTTATTGCGTAGAGGATTACCTGCATGAGGCAATTGTGATTTCATACAAAGTGCAAAGTTGTTTAATAAAAAAGCAGGAATAATCAATGATAATGACTGAGGGAGAATATAAAGTCACATAATATGAACTGTAGTATTCAAATAAACATTAAGGCCTAAATGAATACATATAATGGAAATAAATTAATAAAAGCATACAGGAAGTGACAAACTTAAATAATGCAAATCAGGAGATGTGATTAAGTATAGAGTTTATTCAAGTGCCAAGCTTGAGGATAGCCACCTGGATAACACTGACTGCAAAAGAATGGAATGAGTGCTTGCAAGTGAGAAGTAAAGATTTCACTTATACAGGGAGAGATAGAGAAATTTAGAAGTTGCAACATTTTCCATTCCAAGGCCAATACATAAGTTGCAGCTACGTGATTGGTTACAGTTTGCTACATTCCAAGGAAAATTGCTTTAATGTTCCCTAAGGAGGGTTAATGGGCTCAAGGGGGGGTCTTATCTCTTTCACCTTTTAGTCTTTCCTAATCATCCATAGTACAGGAATAAGGGTGGGAGTTAATCTATAATGACAGAAGCAGAATTTGCAGCTGCATTCTATGTGATTCAGGCTACATAGTCACATTCCTCTCAAGGCTCAAATAATTTAAAGTTTCAACAGCTTTATGTTTAAATTTTTTAATTTCAAATTTCTTCCTTTTCATCAAGATCTTTCAAAGAAAACATCATAGATGAATTCAAGCTGTTTTGGCTCCTTTTATGTTCAGAAGCTTAGTCCCACATCGCTAGGAAGGCTCATTCCTAGAAAGTCATATCCCATAGCAGAAGGAATTTGTCAGGTTATAAAGCTGATGTGGTATAAGACTAATTTAGAGCAACTTGAAGGACATGCTTGTGTGACCTGAATCAGACTACACAGCTGTATCTCTTCAATTAATGCAATTCTTTGCCTGATAATTATTTTGTTTTATTTAGTTTTGCATTGGGTCCACTGCAAACAAATACCACAGCAGCAGTAAAGGCAAAAACAGAACGAAACACAACAAATGATTATAATTCCTAGAATAGGTAACAACTTCTTCTACCAGGGTCCCCAAAATCCAAACAAGCTGCTTAGCCAATTGTTTAGAAAGGACTGGTTATTTGGGTTTTAATGTCAGCCAGTAATTTAGTGATGTTGTCTTATTCATTTGGGATATACACACAACACCCAGCTTTTATGATAGCCCAGCTTCTCACTTAGGCTCCAGTGAGTATGTCTAATGCCATATGGGTCTGTAATGCAGCCTTTCTCATAAGACAAACTTTATTGTTGAATAACAAGATATCCATGAGGTATTGTTTCAGGCTTTTTTCTATAATTGTTTAGGGCATCTATATGCCAAGTGCCATCTGTAGTACCCAGTTGTGGCAGAAAGATAGAAGCTAAATGATTATACAGAATGAACCCGACAAGATTGTTAGTAAGGAAAATGGGCGTGCTTTAAAAGAGTATGAAATATTTGAACCTGTACCTAGGTATAACCTAGAAAATAAAGTCCTAAATAACCTCCTGGTAGCCATGACCATAGACTGGTGCTGCATAGCCAATAGGCTTTATTTGGAGCTAGTGATTAAACACCCAGTCACTCTTCCCACACAATAGCATGTCAATCAGTACTTTTAATATAATGGTGTGGATACACTGTTCCCTTAGGTATCCTTCCCATAATTCTAGTGCTATCGGGCCATGTGTCTTTGATGTGATTCTTTTGTTCCCAATCTGAAGGAGCAAGCTCACTGAGCAGACCAAAAGACAGGGTAGACCAAATAAGACCATCTCAAATTGTGTTCTATCCTCCTCAAATTGAGTGGCCTTATTGCTCAGTTTGATCAATGCTATCATTAAGGCTAAACAATTGGTTTCATTTACCAGAAATCTTTCCCTATATCCTTTACTTTGTAAAGTACTATAATTAAGCCAGTGATGTATAACATCCTTGGTCATATAAGTGTTAAGCACCAATGACTATCCTTGAGAAACAGATATATTTCTGGTGTTCTACCCAATCTTGTCTTGGAACAGAGATACCTACCACAGTAGGCCGGACTCACTGGAAAGAGGCATGAGGCTGTATACCCAACAAGTGGTTTTCTGTAATCCATTAGTCTTGAGCCCATTGCAAAAAAAGGTTTGCTTCATTGGCAACAGCTGATGATAGTAGCAACAAAACATAACGGTGTGGTGTCTTGGAAAAGCTGTCTACCTCAGATGTCTTTTTCTCATCTTTGCTAGTTATGGAGAATTTCCATTGTAGATCACAGGTTTGAGATGAAGTACAAATTGGCAAAGTAACTTTCTTTAAATGGGTGATGTGTAAATAGAAATCAATTACTTTTAGCTTAGCAGCACGAGGGTTAGTTTGAAGCACCTGATAATGTCCTTTCTACCTCGGTTGGAGGGAGTCCTTTAAAAGATTCTGTTTCAAATAGACAAAGACTCCTGGTTGAATCCCAAGGTCCTTGAGGTCCAGGAGCTCACTGTAGAGTCTTGTTCTAAATTACAGTTTTCAGTTAGCTGTTTTTAAGACCACATTCTCTTTTAATATCATTGATTCAAAATTTTCCTAGAGACATTTTCAAAGATCTACCTGTTACAATTCCAAGTGGAGACAGTTGGTGCTTACTGAAGGGAATTAATCTTAGGCTAAGCAAAACTAATGGAAAATATTTTGGCCAAGGAATTTTAAAAACCTCAGTTAATTTTGCCATTTGAGGTTTTCATTCTTATTTATTTAAGACAGCATCTCACTTTGTCTCCCAGGCTGGAGTGTAGTGGCATTATCTTGGCTCATTGCAACCTCCACCTTCCCAGTTCAAGCCTCAGCCTCCAGAGTAGCTGGGATTATAAGCACGTGCCACCATGCCCAGCCAAATTTCTATATTTTTAGTAGAGATGGGGTATCGCTATGGTGGCCAGGCTGATCTTGAACTTCTGGCCTCAAGTGATCCACCCACCTTGGCCTCCCAAAGTGCTGGGTTTATAGGCATGAGCCTCTGCTTCTGGCCTATTTATTTATTTTTGAGAAAAGTTCTTGCTCTGTTGCCCAGGCTGGAGTGCACTGGTATGATCAAGATTCACTGAAGCCTTAATTTCCTGGACTTAAGCAATCCTCCCACTTCAGCCTCACAAGGAGCTAGGACTACAGACATGTGTCACTATGCCTGGCTAAGTTTTAAAAGTTTTTTGTAGGGACAAGGTCTTTCTATATTGCCCAGGGTGGTTTCAAACTTCTGGCCTTAGTCTATCCTCTTGCCTCAGCCTCACAAAGTGCTGAGATTACAGGTGGTCAATTGAGTTTTAATTATTTTGTTTGTGCATTCCACTAATTCAGATGACTGGCAGTGATAGGTATTTTTCATACTGACTGAGTTATTTGCCTACTGAAATGAGCACCTCTGTCAGTATAAAGTTCTAGGGGAACTCCTCAGGTTGGAATACTTTTTTTATCTAAGATAATTTTACTTGCTGCTAAGGCTATTGCTTTTCTGTTTGAAAATACTTCCACTCAATGAGAAAACATACAAACCATCATTAGAACATATTTGCATCCTTGTAATAGTGGTAGATGAATAAAATATAATTGCCATACTTTGAAAAGGCCTTCTGTAAGAAAAGGACCTTAAAAACTATGAAAGCTTTCCTGGGTTATGTTTCAATGAGTTGGAAAATATACTAAGAAAGATGACTATAATTTGGTTAGAACTTTGGGTAGACCATTTGGTCCATACCACCGTCAGTTTCAGAATATTATGTTCCCCTATCTTTCCCAATTTTCTTGTTGTGCTTTTGGAGCTTTGGATTGAGCTAATTTTATATTAGAATCAAATGCTTTCTTAAAAGCTAAAATGGGTTGATTTTCCTGTTCAGATACATTTAGAGCAGCTCTTTAGACCATGTAATCTACTAATTGATTTCTCTTGCTTTCTGCAGTGTTTGACTTTGTATGGCCTGGAATCTTGATAATGGTAATGATTTTGGCAATAATTTGACTTCCAATAATTGTAAAACAAGGTGTCCGCTTTTTTATGGACTGACTGGAAGAGGTCAAAAAGTCCTCTTTGTTTCGTAGTATTCCAAAGTCATGAGCTACTGCAAAAGCATATTAGCTGTCTGTATAAATATTAGCAGTTATTACTTTTGACAATTGACAAGCTCTAATTAATGCTATTAACTCTGCTTGTTGAGCCAAGATTGCTTCTGGAAGATAAGCACTTTCTATTTCCTCAATTGAATATACTATAGCATAACCTTCATGATGAATTCTACATTTATACTTCAAGTAAGATTCATCTGTCAACCAAACATTAGTGTTTATGGGAAATAGGGGTTGTAGGTCTGCCCTGGGAAAGAGAAATTATGTAATCATGTGGCATTTCTTCTGATGGCAGGGGTAGAAGAGTGGCAGGATTTAGATTATTACATCTGGAGATTATAATATGGGGAAAAGAAGGAAGAAGAACTTTTTAAGAAGCCAGCCTAGTCAGTGAATAGCATTGAGTGTGGTACAAGTTTAGAAGCACTTTCACAGAATGAGGAACAAAGACCCTACAGGGGCATCTCATCACTATTTATTTGATTTCTCTGTGCTCTGATTAACAGGGCAGTAGCAGTTATTACTTTCATGCAAGTTGGAAATCCTTTAGCCATAAGGTCCAGTTGTTGACTACAGTATCCGACACATCTATTTTGATTTTCATGTTTTTGAGTCAGAATTCCTAGGGTGTTTCCCTGATTTTCATGAGTAAACAATGAAAACTGAATATTATAATTTGGATATCCTAATGCTGGAACATCTATAAAACTCCTTTTAATGTGTTCTCGTGTTAACTGATTTTTCTCTGTCCATTCCAGGTGGTCTGGCTTATCTCATTTTAAAAGAGTATATAAATATTGAGCTTTCAAAGTGAAATTTGGAATCCAGTTTCTGTAGCATCCTGTCAACCCTAAAAGTTCTCTCAGTTGTTTAACAGTTTTGGATTAGGGAAGGCTAATATTCCTTTTATTCTATACAGATTGATAAAAAGAACTTCCTTCAATACTAGATGACCTATACATCACCTGTTTTTTAACAGAACTAAAGTTTTTCTTCTGAGACTTTGTGTCCCTTTGAAGCTAATTACTGTAAAAAAAAAAATTATTACCTATGGAGGCTTGCTTATTCCCTGAGCAGAGAGTAAATAATCTATGTACTGTATCAAGGTGGATTTTTTAGGGAAGACGACATCAAAAAAGTCTTCCTTTAATATTTATGAAAAATAAGTTGGGCTCTTCATACATCCCTGAGGCATGACTGTCCATGGGTATTGTCTGTCTTCCCAGGTGCAAGAGAATAGAAATTGACTATCTTTACCCATAGGAATGCTAAAGAATGAACTACATAGGTCTCTTGCAGTAACAGTTGGGATGACAGTCAACAATATATGGGAGTCTGGTATTCATAGATGCTGAGGAATAACAATATTATTCATTTTTCTCAGATCCTATAAAAGTCTGACATCCTCTACTCTTTGGTTTTCTTATAGGGAGGATTGGAGTGTTACATGGGCTTGTATGAGATATAATCAAGCCTCTTATTATATAATTCAACAATATAGGTCTTATCCCTTTCAAGGCCTCTGATCTTAGAGGGTATTTAAGGTTCAGAAGAGATTCTGTTAGATCTCTTTGAATTTTAATTGGCACAGCTGAGATAATTTTCCCAATATTGATGGGGGATTTTAACTCCATCAGGTACTGATGATCACATAGTATTTTTAACAGTTCTTGTAATTTTTCATGATTTAACATTTTAGTTACTTCTATGACAATATAAATAGTAATCTGTGAATTAAAAAGATCTGAGTTCAAAGAAAAATTTTTCCAAATGATTCTATTTTGTCTTCTAATTCTAAATACATTTCCCCTTTCTGAGAGAAAGAGATGAGGTATTGTATAATTCTGAAAAGGGTCTCTCTATCAAATGGATAGGGGCTGAGGGAACCAAGAGTAAAATATGTGTTCCCCTAGGGGATCTGACTGAAAATTGTAGGTTGAGGTATACATGCTGTTATAGGAATATTTGTTAATCTCACCATTTGTATTGTTTTGTGATTCTGAAGAATGAGACCTTGTAATAAGGTGGGATTTATCACTGCTAAGGTAGCTCCTGTGTCAATAACAGTTTTGTTCATTTTCCATTTAAAATAGTTTAAATTTACACTAAGGTATAAGTGAGGAGAAAACAGCAGGTCCCTTTGGTTTTCTTGAAACATTCCTATTCTTCCTTTTCTTTGGCCTCTTGTTGTTCTTTCCATTTTAATTTTCTACAGTCTTTTAAAAACTATCCAGGCTTTTTGCAGTAATTGCAAACCAGGGAATGGGTTGGTTCTGAAATGTACTAGGCTGTTTAGGGGATACAGATTAGTTGAACAATTGTTCTAGGTTTAAACTCATGACCGTATTTGCCTTTTCTCTCTATTTATGTTTAGTTTTCCTTTCCTTTTCCTCCTTGGTTAGGGTACAGGACATTTGGTTGGCAGAGTTAACATGGTCATGAGTTTGACAGACAGCCTAAAAGGGTTGTTGTCTCTTTATTATAATTGCCAGTTCTTCATCTAATATGTTTATAAAGTTTGAGTTAAGCAGTGTTTCATTTTGGTGGTAAATATAACTTTCTTCTGACAGGTCTGAATATTGTTTAAACTTTTTTTCCCCAAAATCTTCTATAGTATGTTATTACAGGCTCTTCAGTATTTTGTTGGCTTTGTTATACTTTGTTTCGATCAACTGCTTTTCAGAAAACTCAGGGGAAAACATCTAGTAGAGTTTTGGCAGGATTGTTGGGGCCATTCATGATCTGCTTTAGAAAATTTATTGACATCCTAAAGCATTTCTTTAATTTGCCTTTTCAATCCAATCTTTGCCTTTACTTTCTGACACTAACATGTGAACTCACTGATATAAATCAGGGAATCTGGGATCATACATTCAAATATTTAATTCATATTTCCTAGTAAATCAAATATGGTGCTGAAGAGGATCTGAGAATTCTTTAATTATGTCTTCAAGTTCTATGATGGCCCATGGTTAGTAAACCAAGGCAGGATTTTCTCTAACAGACATGGTGTTCCTGAAATGGAGTTGGAACACAGAAGAAGGAGGAGCAGAAGGAATGGGAAGTGAGTCCCCTGAAAGACGTTCTGTCAGTGGGGCATACAGAGAAGGAGGAGCTGAAGGAAAATAAATTTCAGCAGTCTTTTTCAATTCAGAAATTGTTTTAGTCAATTTTTTGTTTTCCTTCTGCAAATAAATGATTTTATCAGAATGTCTTTTAAAAACTTCTAAGTACCACTGAAAATAACTCTCCCAGGTATTTCATTTTATTTTAGAGATTATTTTCTAATTGAATACACAGATAAACTACTTTAGGTATTTCAAAGATACCCCATTTTGGACATTGCAATTTCAGGTCATTGAGAGTTATGTGAGACCATTTTTCTAAATATTTGCATGAAGAGACACCGTAAGTATTATACATGAATCCAGCAGATGTTTCTAACAATGAGTCTCTTCCTTAAGGAGGAAGACTTGGTTTTTAGAAGTGCGATTGCCATAATTTAGATTTTCCTTTTGAAATTTAACAGAGTTGTCAGAAGACCTAGTGGGAGGTTTTAAGATTGGGTATGCTGCTTGTGGGAATAGCTCCTAAAAAGGTCACCCTTGAGTTGATTCCTCCCTTTTATGTGCCTTGGTGATCCCAAGAGACTTGAGAGGTTTGTTTTGTTTTGTTTTGTTTTTTGTTTTTTGTTTTGTTTTGTTTTTTGAGACAGAATCTCCCTCAGTCGCCCAGGCTGGGGTGCAGTGCCATGATCCTGGCTCACTGCAACCTCCTTCTCCTCCTGGGTTCAAGTGATTCTCCTGCCTCAAACTCCCAAGTAGCTGGGATTAAAGGCACCTGCCATCACACCTGGCTAATTTTTGTATTTTTATTAGAGATGTGGTCTAACCATTTTGGCCAGGCTGGTCTAGAACTCCTGACCTCAGGTGATCTGCCCACCTCGGCATCCCAAAATGCTGGGATTACAGGCATGAGTCACTGCGCCTGGCCGGGACTTGAGTTCTTAAGGTACTAGCTGATCAGCATTTACATGTGCCTCTCAGATTAAGCATAGTTCTCTGTATGTTCTGCTTAAGGGATTTCCTATGAGACCATTTCACGTCATGAGCTATGAGCTCCAATACCCCCATAACACCTCTGTCAGCTATAGTGTCTTTTAGCCAGGAGGAACAATGTCTCATCTTCAGGATGTAGTTTGTCCTCATAAAGAATGTTTATGGCCAGGTGTGGTGGCTCATGCCTGTAATCCCACTACTTTGGGAGGCTGGGGCAGGTGGATCACGAGGTCAGAAGATCGAGACCATCCTGGCTAACACAGTGAAACCCCGTCTGTACTAAAAATACAAAAACAAAATTAGCCTGGTGTGGTGGCGGGTGCCTGTAGTCCCAGCTACTGGGGAGGCTGAGGCAGGAGAATGGCGTGAACCCGGGAGGCGGAGTTTGCAGTGAGCATAGGTCGCACCACTGCACTCCAGCCTGGGTGACAGAGTGAGACTCCATTGCAAAAAAAAAAAGAATATTTATGATTTTGGTCACCAAAAATAAAACTGCAGATTTGTCAATTGAACCTAGCTTCAGAATCTGGCCAGTTTAAAAGATTACAGTTTTTTCACTTAAGTCACAAAGATTATCTTTCTCTTTTTAAAGAGAAATCATTTCCTCCCTGATCAAAATTTTGAATGAGAGAAAAGATTGTAAAAACTCTGAGTAATTGAAACAAACAAACAAAGAAAGAAAAACTTGGCCTCACAAAGTAGTGAAAATCATAAATCTACAATGAGCAAAGTATTGAGAGAATAGCAAATGAAACTTCTACCTTGCAGGTAGCGCTTCTATTCCAACCCCGTCAAAGTAGGAATTTGTACTGCTTGAAAAAGTCTGAATCTCAACCAAGCCCGGAGATTCAAACTAAAGAGGGGCCTTACCAGAGAACCTTGGTGACTCCAGCAAGGTCTCATGAACCAAAATTACTCATGATGGTACCAAGGCTCTTGTTGTCAGTGAAATGATGGGGATGACTGGAGGTTCACTCTGACTCCCTTTTTGGTAACCAAAATGTCAGCCTTGAATAATGAGATTCAGAAAATATGATTAAGTTTAGAGTTTATCCAAGGGCAAAGCTTGAGGATAGGCACTCAGGTTAACTCCGATAGAAAAGAGTCAGCGCTCCCAAGGGGAAGTTGATGTTTCACTTATATAGGAAGAGATAGAGAACTTTAACAGAGTTGCAATATTTTCCATGTGAAGAAATACATAACTTACAGCAATGTGATGGTGACATTTTGCTGCATTCCAAGGAAGGTAGATTGCTTTAATATTCCATAAGGAGAGGTCATAGATTTGGGGTGGTGGTTGTCTTATCTCTAGAGCCTTTAGATCTTTCCTCAGACCTAAAGGTTTTTATTTTTTTACTTTAATTACCTTCCTTTATTTAAATGATCTGTATGGATTTGGTGATGACATTGAAGAGCTCCTGACACAGACTGCAGGGTTTCAGGGCTGATGGAAATCAGGGCTGTTCCATGATTTCCTCCTCCATTTCCATGGGGCCTTCTCGAACCCTAATCCAGCAATGTAGTGGGGCTGAGGTAGCCAGTGGGTATGGCCGATGAGTGTGTCTTTCTGGATTTTGTTCACCATGGCAACCAGGTACCCGATTTTATTTCGGAAAAAGAGTAATTTGGTCCCAAAAAGAACCTATTCCAACATGGACTAAATAATCGTCTTGAAACCATCCTGAGAAATGCTGACATCTGCTGTTACACAACAGAAGAAATGCAAGCCTTCCCAGGCCCCGCCCCAGGGGAAAGTGGAATAAAAACGGCAGCTGGCGTCCATTATCTGGCTGAGAACTTGAACCATCGGCTCTAACAAGTGACATGTAGAAAATGAGGTCTTTCCAGGATCTCCGAGCGGCCGCAGCTCTTCATGGTCTCCAGGTAGCAGCAGATGAGCGCATCGGTCTTCACCTTGTTCCCCCATCAGTAGAAGATTCCTGGCTACAGCTCGTGGTGCCGGCCCACAGAGCACTGGTCCTCGTAGTAGACAATGACCTGCTGGCCCCGGGACCACAGCTGCCACAGCGTCAGCACCTCCTGTCAAAGGGCAGGACCTGTGGTCTCTCAAAGGCGGAGTCACCTTTTCCTGGGGATCTGTATATGCCTTGCTAAATCAGCTCTTGCCATCCACACATTCCCCACATACTTCTGCTTCCTACAACTTGCTGAAATGAATTGATGGAATCTTGACCAAAATTGGATGTGGATTTAACGTCTCAGGCTTCCTGCACACAGGGGAACCTGTGTGAAATCAGAGTGGAGCTGCCACAAGCCAGGAGGCACCTGCTTCTGGAGAGAGGCCAGAGCACCCTCTATGGGCGCCTTGATTCTGTCTGCAGAGGCGGGCAGGCACACGTCTCTTCCTACAGTACAAGAGTAAGGGAGGTAGTTAATCTATAATCAGAGAAGCAGAAGTTTCAGCTGCATGCTACGTGACTTAGGCTACTTAGTCACATTCCTCTCAAGGCTCAAATAATTTAGGTTCCAATGCTTTAAGTTTGAATTATTTAATTTCATAGAACACATAAAAGAAAAAAAATAGTCTGTCCTTTCTCTGGAAACGGAATATTGATGTGCACCATACACAATGTTATGTATGTTCTTTCCCTATTTACTTACAAGAAAAATCAGGTATCCCTACTCTTTCTCCTCCCACATTTCCATTTGTCTGCAGTCACATACTGATATATGAAAAATTCAAATCTCAGAGGCTATTTATATTTCTACAAAAAGTCCTAGAAAGCATTAAGGTACACTTATTGAAGATGTGTTGATGGGGTGACTGAAGATTTACAAACTTACAGACTCTAGCAAGGAGATTTTATTGGAACTGGCAATAAAAACACAACTTGTTTGTAAACCACTGTATTTGCTGGTGGTTCTCATTTTTATCTTGCTCGTATGCAGGTCATTTGTTAAAATACAGTTGGCTGTCATGTTACCTATGCTTATCAACTCAACTGGTAGGAACAAGGCTGAGGCATCTCACCCAATCCCCAGGCCTCAATGGTCCCTGACTGATTCCTCTTTTTCTTTCTTTTATTCTGAGATTTTCTTCCATGTGGTGATGAAGTAAGTTAGAACAATAACGATAACATGGCATCATGAACATATGGTGTAATTAAGGTGTTCATTACTGTGTCAGGTGGATAATGAAAGGCTAATACTTTTCCAGGACATTCTGTGGCATGCAGTATAAATGGCTGCCCCACAGGTAGGTATTGATGGAAAGGTTGAAGTCTACTCTTAGGGGACAGTTTTGTTGTTTTATTCCCATAGCCCTGAGTCAAACACTCACAAAACACACTGATATATTTTTGTTTATTTTTCACTAACTTTGGCTCTTTAGTAACTCAATGGTTTGTCCATTTCTCCCTCGAGGCTGTACAAATATCAGCTCATTTGGTCAGAATTGACTAATGCCCGCTGGATAGCGTAAGTGTTCATGCCCATGTTCCTCTCTCCTTTTCAGTTTCCACTGATGGTTTGGACTTTGGGGATGTTCTTTAATTTCTTCTAAGTTCAACTAGGCAATAGAAAGCACTTTTATTATGTTTATTCAACATTCAAGGGGTTCCATAATGTTAATTTTTCAGGAATCTGGTCCATTGTATTATTGAAAATGATGTCAAATTATTCTGTTTCTACTAATAAACACAATATTTTTAAATAAATTCCAAAAAGAAATGATCATGTACAGAATTTCTTATAAAGTGAATTTCCTGGAAAATTTGTTACTCTTTTAAATCAATGAAATTCTTTCCTGGGGGATAGTACCCATTTCTAGGTATACGATTTCCAATTCTGCAACGCATACCCAAGGTCTTAACAGAGTGCCAAAAAGCTTGTCAATGCTGCCCTGGCTACAGCTCCCACCTCGCTCACCTGGACTTGCCTCATCCTCTGGTAATACAGTGCAGCTAACACTTACCACTTCTCACATTTCTGCCTTATCGTTCTCTTTATCTTGAAAATCTTGCTGTTCTTCCTCATATAATAACATACGTCTGGGTACATGACTCACGTCGGTAATCCAGCACTTTGGGAGGCTGACGGGGGCAGACTGCTAGAGCCCAGTAGTTCAAAACCAGCCTGGGCAACACAGCGAGACTTTGTTGTTACTCAAAACACAAAAAATTAGCCGGGCATGGTGGCATATGCCTGTAGTCCCAGCTACTCAGGAGACTGAGGTGGGAGGATCATTTCAGCCCAGGGAGGTCGATGCTGCATGGTGCGACTGCACACCAACCTGGGTGACAGAGTGAGACCCTGTCTCAAAAAAAGAAAAAAGCAAGTCCAGTGACATCTTCTACAAAAGCTTCTTGGGTTTCTAAAAAAACTCTTCAATCCATATGACAAACACGCTCTCTCTCAATAATTGCCTATGTAACGCTAAGAAAATAATCAAAGCAATGCATACGTTATTATTCTTTAATTTCTCAAACTATATTCCATAAATTATTTTTACAATAATTTTGTATTTCTTAATTGTACATATTAGAGATTGTTCTATATCATATAATATGATATTAACCAAAAAAGCATTCAAGTTACTAGCTTAGACATTTGCTTTGTAGTTGGACAATTTCCTTCTTTGAAGACAGGAGATAACTTGCTCATCTATGTATATGGAGTGCCAACAAGGGTAGCAGTTACGGGGACATTCAGGACATAGTTGTTAAATAAATGGAAGTGGGTTAATTTCTACTCATTAATATGTTTTTATTTCAATGGGTAATGTTCATACTGTATCAACTATCTCAGAAAATTCCACTATTATGTCAATGTTTCAGCTTTTAGGGACAATGCTTTTCACCTTAAATTGTGGAGAAAATTTTGTTGAACTCAATGTCAATGTGGCTTAAAAAATATACGTTAAGGATTTGAAGTACCTTGAATATTGTTTCATTTGAGAAGAGAAAAAAAAATAGAAAGTTACCTCTAAAATTCTCCTGTACAGGCCCAACCTGCAGGCATATAATCAGCTTTGCCTTTCTGAAAATTTCTAGCTAACCTTTAGAAAAAGCTGAGTTTTGGGAGCTCTGCAGTAATAACACAAAGTGTTGCTACTACCATTACGAATTTTGAACAAAGAAAAACTCATGAAATATTTAAAAAGATGGCCTTAGTTACTAAACAATTATTATTTTTAAGTTCATGAATAGAAATGGGATTTTAAGAACAGGAATATTCAAACATAGATACCTCTCTCTTGCTCATGCCTGTTTATGAGTGTTTTTTTCTTTTTTTTTTTTTTTTTAAGTTTCAACTTGCCACTTACTAGTTGTACTGGTTAATCAATTTCTGCAACTCTTTCCCCTATTTTCTTACCTGTAAAATGACAATAATTGTAGTAAGGTACACAGCATAGTATAATCGGAATCACTTAATATTGAATCAGATACAAAAGTTACCATGCACATCCCCTGCCAGATGGTGCAACCCAGAGGAAAGACACTGTCTGGTTAATCAGAGGATAACGGTTTAATTCTGGCTTTGCGGCTAACTCCCTTTTTATCCATTCCCCTTTCATGATCAAATGAGAAGTGTGGACTGAATGTCTACAGAAGCCTTTTTCGTTTCTTCAAGTTCAGCAAGTGCTCGCCGTGGAACAATATCGTATGGGCTTCCTCTGTATCCTGCCAGAGGTGTGGCTTCTCATTGACCTTCATTAAAACTTCTTAAAACACATTCCTTTCACATGGTGTGTGCGCCTGTCAAGAACTTATTGAAAAATCTACTGCTTCAAAATCAGGAAATTTACTGAGGAAAAATAAAACAGCAAGGAAGCGTCTGATGAAAAAATCAATATTAGAAAGAAGTGAGGTGAATTCCAAAATGGCAGCTGCCTGGTAGACCTGGAAAGCAACCAGTGTTTTCTGGAACAAGGAACTGTGAGAGTCTAGATGGAGGTCTTTGAGGTAAAAACAAACACATTTTTAAGAAGTAGCCGGCGTGGTGGCACACACCTGTATTCCCAGCTACTGGGAGGCTGAGGCAGAAGAATCGCTCGAACCTGGGAGATGGAGGTTGCAGAGAGCCGAGATCGTGCCACTGCACTCCAGCTTGGGCGACGGAGCGAGACTCCGTCTCCAAAAAACAAAACAAAATAAAGAGGTAATAAACTATCTGAATTTTTGACAGTACCACAAGTTATTTTTAAAAGGCATTTTAGAGAGCCCTTGGGAAGTATAGAAACACTTAGATTTTCAAAGACTATTGAGAGAATAAAAATGAGACAATATTATGTATAAACAAAACAAAAACTAACACTTGTTCAAAATGTGGAATGAAGCCACAGTTTATTTCTTGGTTTAGTAATAAATACTACTTATATAGATATAGCAATAACAATATAAATATTCATTTATCGGAAAATGGAGACATAATTTATTTGGTAGAAGAGAGAAAGGACAGAAGTGTGAATAAGCTCAATCTACATCTACCTTAAAACAACACATAATGTGGCTGGGCGCGGTGGCTCAAGCCTGTAATCCCGACACTTTGGGAGGCCAAGGCAGGCGAATCACCTGAAGTCAGGAGTTCGAGACCAGCCTGGCCAACATGGTGAAACTCCGTCTCTACTAAAAATACAAAAATTAGCCAGGCGTGGTGTCAGGAGACTGTAATCCCAGCTACTTAGGAGGCTGAGGCAGGAGAATGGCTTGAGCCCGGGAGGCAGAGGTTGCGTGAGCCGAGATCCAGCCATTTGCACTACAGCCTGGGGTACAAGAGCAAAAGTTTGTCTCAAAAAAAAAAAAAAAATACATAGTGTCTAAATTTGATTAGTCAGTCAGGAGACAATTAGAATATACATACTATTTAGATATATGGAGGTAAATAAACATTTTATTACGAATTTTAACCACATATCTGATCTTCAAAGCATTATCAAGTAGACTGTAGAATAACAAATACAAAAGAAATTGTTAATTAATGGCATATGTAGAATGAAATTTCAATCTCATGAAAAACATTGGTAGTAAACATACGTTTTCATCTGATTTTTTTTTTTTTTTTTTTGAAATGGAGTCTCACTCTGTGGCCCAGGCTGGAGTACAGTGGAGTGATCTCGACTCACTGCAACCTTCGCCTCCCGGGTTCAAGCGATTCTCCTGCCTCAGCCTCCTGAGTAGCTGGGATTACAGGCGTGTGCCACCATGCCCAGCTAATTTTTGTATTTTTAGTAGAGACGGGGTTTCACCATGTTGGTCAGGCTGGTCTTGAACCCCTGACATCATGATCCACCCACCTCGGCCTCCCAATGTGCTGGGATTACAGGCGTGAGCCACCGCGCCCGGCCTTCACCTGATTTTTCACAGACACTGTGTATGGTGTAATTTATTATTATTCCGTATTGTAGAGGAAGAAAGCCAGGCCTAAGGAGATAGTGATATTAGCAAGATGATAGTGACAGGAATCATTTCCAAATCTTTTGACATTAAATAAAATGTAATTATCCTTGCAGAGCACTGCCACTTTAACATGGGCTAGATCTCTCTACTCCTAGTTGAGATTACAAGGACTTTGGAGTGCTGCTGATGCCTTCTATACCCACTTCCAGATAAACAGGCTTACTTTAGATACAGTGTCCTGCACAAGTCTCTGGGGTAGTTTGAGGTCAAGGATACAAGCCCTAAGAGCCTCTTGCTATGTTAAACGTTATGGCAATAGTCTTGCAGTTTAACAGATTAAAAAAGCTATATGGCAAACACAAGCATGTTACCACCATACAGTGATTTCCATTGTGGCAGAATTTTATTTGCTGTCCCTGGAAAAATACAAATAATTAAAAACAATCTGCACAAAACTGACCTGACCGGTAATTAGATAATAATTTTTCTAGCTGTGTGTTTGGATATTGTGTTTGCAATTTTCTCCTCCAATGCTTCTGGATATTCATTCACCTTTATTGATTGTTGACAATAGTCATCATTAGCAAAAAGATATTCCAGAGACCAAAACCTCAGTGCTTCTGGCAAAGGAGAGAATGTATGCATTATAAGAAAGCACTCACACTTCTACATTTTTAGTAGTCTGTTTCTATACAAATATTTCAAATAGGATGGAGTCATGGGGCATTTTTCCTCTGGATTATAAACTCCTTAGTACCTGATACCTGATATCTTTAGGTTCTAAGGCTAACTATTACAGTCAGGGATGATAGCAATACAAAAGGAAAATGTCAGAAAGCTATTATTGTGGCAACTTTTTTTTCCCTGGGACACCTATTAACACACAAAGTCTAATACAATTTGACTGCAATCAATACTTATTAATAAGTACTTTTATCTTCTAAATGATACCATTCATTAATCCTTGCATGCATGGATGGATACATTCACCTATTCAGATGTTTAACAAATGGGTACCCACCACATGCCTGAACTAGTTCTGTGCCCAAAGGATACAGTTATGACAAGCATTGTTCGTACTCTTTATATAAGGAGACAGAATGGAAGGACATGGTTTTAATGCAAAATGACAGATGGGATAATCGAAATGGAGGAAGGCCCCAGCTTGAGTTCAGGGTAAACTCAGCTCTGTCCGCTGTGTTAGAATTCCCTGTACGATTAGTACTGCTGAACATTTCTTTTCACAAGAAGGAACAGAGGGAAAATTCAGAAAATTGGACCTAGTTCCAAGAGAAGGGGTGATTCAAATCATGTCTGTATCTTGCTTCTCTGATTGTCCTCCAGCCCAGGTCTCTCCAGTTCTTGCTGAATACTAACTAACGTGAGGACTAACACCAGATGAATGAATAAGAATTGTAATGTCTCTTCCCTCTTCTATGTCGTCTCCGTGAGTCTTATGTTGAGAAAACTGGGAGAGTCAAATGCAGAAGTCAGACAGAGGTCGGACATGGTGGCTCACGCTTATAATCCTAGCACTTTGGGAGGTTGAGGCGGGTGGATCACTTGAGGTCAGGAGTTCAAGACCAGCCTGGCCAACATGGCGAAACCCCATCTCTACTAAAAATACAAAAATTATCCAGGCATGGTGGCACACACCTGTAGTCTCAGCTCCTTGGGAGGCTAAGGCGGGAGAATTGCTTGAACCTGGGAGGCGGAGGTTACAGTCAGCCAAGATCATGCCACTGCACTCCAGCCTGGGCGACAGAGTGAGATTCCATCTCAAAAGAACCAAAAAATGAAAAAGCAGAAGTCAGACAAAGATCAAAGCCCAATTTTACCCTAAGCATATCCTTTATGGGAAATATCTCCTAGAATTTTCATCAAACACAATATCTTCAAGATATGCCCAAATATCATACTGTGAAACAGACCTTAAATAGGTATTACCTGCCCTCTGAGCTACAGGTAGAGGGCACATAAAACAATGGCGAGCCTGTTTTTCTCTTTGGCCTTCAGTAACTTTAAATAAGAATAGGATAACACATTTAAAGAATGTTAAATAATACTAGGATACCACCTAAAACATTCTTGGTTTACCTTGTCCCCATAATTTAGCATATTATTAAATGTAATTTATTAGCTTAGTGATCCCTATGTTAATTTAGAAACTGGGAGGAGAATTAGGGAATATATTCAGAGTCAAAGCAAACACTGTTGTTTTTGTTTTAACAGCTGTTGGGAAATAACAATTTTAAGGAGAATTACAGGCATAAATTGGAGAAGAAATACTACTTCTGATATCCCTTGTATTTCTAACTTAAACACATTTCAAAGCATCTTCAAATATTGATGACATAAAGCTACTGTTTTTACTCTCCCAGGACAAAAATGAAAGATGTTTATCTTACACAGATTTTTGCCTTACTGAACAGTTTTTTTTGAAAAAAGTGTCCTTTCATTGGTTTAATAGCTGAACAAATGGTGCTTTCAATCTTGTGTAATTTGGTCTAAGTATCTGTCATTTCCTAGGATTAATGCCAGATGGACCCTGGGAACATTTCTAAGAGTTCACTGCTAAAATAAAGACAGAGTACAAATACACACCTGGTCACAGGTGATAAGAGTGTGTGGGTAAGAGAGGCATCTGTTCAACAGGAGGCTATGCATGTGGCTTTGCAATAAAGGTATGAGATCGAGGCTGACCTCTTAAAACAAAATGCCACAAAGCAAAAGCCAGAAGGCTGGTTTATCTGTCCTCTTAAGTGACTGCTTGATTCACTTCACTGAGTATTTACTGTCTACTGGGCACTGAGCTAAGCACAGTCCTTACAACGAGGCTCAATGCTCACCCTCATTTTATGGATGAGAAAACAGACTCCAAAAGATTAAAGACAATCCCAGATTCATGTTAAAAAAGATGGCAGAGGTGGGGTTTTAATCCAAAGCCCTCTGATCTGAAACCTATGCATATTCCACTCATTTTTGGAAACTTATAAAATCTTATAATTTTAGGGCTGAAAAGGATGAAATCATTCATAAATCTGTCACCCCTATCTTTCACCAGAATTCCTTCCACAACATCAGCAGGAGATCATCTAACCTATTCAAATACCTCTACTGCTTATGCCTCTGAACATCTTTTCAAACATCGCATATTGTATTTGCTCACTTCTTTGCTCCTTCATCCACACTGCCGCCAGGCTGACCACATATACAGACCACAGGAATGTTTTCCCCTTCCAACCTCTTGATGGCTCTCCTTTGCCTATAGGATACATTGTAGAACACTTCAAAATTTGACAAAAATCTGTCTCTCTGGACTCTTTCTGTTCCCACATATTGTGGACAACAGTGATTAACATCAAAAAATACAGTTGAATTATTAAAATGCATATTATTATTTTAGATTCAGGGGTACAGGTGTAGATTTGTTACATGGGTATATTGCATAATGCTAGGGTTTAGGCTTCTATTGAACCTGTCACCAAAATAATGACCATCGTACCCAATAGGTAGTTTTTCAACCCTACTGCCCTCCCTCCCTCCTCCCACTTGGAAACACTTGGAGTCCCCAGTGTCTATTGTTTCTATCTTCATGTCCATCCATACCTAGTGTTTAGCTCCCACATCTCACAGTATTTGATTTTCTATTTCAGCATGAATTCACTTAGGATAATGGTCTCCAGCTGCATCCATGTTGCTGAAAAGGACATAATTTCAAATTTTTTATGGCTGCATAGTATTCCATTGTGTATATCTGCCACATTTTCTTTATACAATCCACCATTGTGGGTACCTAGGTTGATTGCATGACTTTGCTCTTGTGAATAGTGCAGTGGTAAGCCATGAGTGTAAGAAATTATTTTGATAGAGTGATTTCTTTTCTTTTGGGTGGAAGCCCAGCAGTGGAATTTCTGGGTTGAATGGTAATTCTATTTTTAATTATTTGAGAAATCTCCATACTGTTTTCCATAGGGGTTACACTAATTTACATTCCTAGCAACAGTTTACAAGCATTTCCTTTTCTCCACATATTTGCCAACATCTGTTATTTTTTGTCTTCAAAATCGTTTCTAAATTTTGTGAAGCTTTGCATTCCTGTGTCACTGGTTATCCTTTTTCTGCCTGGAATTGGCTCCCTAGACCTTGCCATCTGTAGAAAGACTATTCATAAATCATAACCCATTCTAATGATCAACTTATTTGAGAAGTCCTGTTAGGTTCTTCAATCAAAATCAGTCTCACTGAACAATGAGTTTGATGTTTATTTGCTTACAGAATTTTGTAACAAAAGAAGCAGCATATCCTGACTTATTTCAACATGTTTTCTTTCCCAGAGGATCGTGAACATCTTGGGGACAGTTTCCATATTATCTTTTGTGCCTCACTGTGTTGCCATATATCCCTGGAACATGGTAAGTAGTATTAGTATAATACTAAGTATAGCTTAGAAATTATCCGATGCGGCCGGGCGCGGTGGCTCACGCCTGTAATCCCAGCACTTTGGGAGGCCGAGGCGGGCGGATCACGAGGTCAGGAGATCGAGACCATCCCGGCTAAAACGGTGAAACCCCGTCTCTACTAAAAAATACAAAAAATTAGCCGGGCGTAGTGGCGGGCGCCTGTGGTCCCAGCTACTTGGGAGGCTGAGGCAGGAGAATGGCGTGAACCCGGGAGGCGGAGCTTGCAGTGAGCCGAGATCCCGCCACTGCACTCCAGCCTGGGCGACAGAGCGAGACTCCGTCTCAAAAAAAAAAAAAAAAAAAAAAAAAAGAAATTATCCGATGCATGAATTTAACTTGAGCTATACAGCTGCAGACAAAGTTATATTTTTCTTGAACTTCATTTTCAATCTATCCCCTTCTGTTTAGGCTCTCATTTCATTATATCTGTACTACATTCTAGCTTGAATTCTTTCTAAATCATTCTTAGGTATACACAATGATTAGCTCATCTGGGTATGGTTATCACATGATTACACCTCCACATAACTCATGCACACACACGTGGAAAATCAAACTCATTGATTTATGAAAATTTATAGACAGTGATAGGCACTAGCTAGGCAATGACTACTTATTAGAAACATTTTCCATGCTAAATATTTATTTAATTTTTAAAAAAAAAATTCTAAAATTCCCACAATGTGCAACTTCACAACATTTTAAGAGTATTTGAAGATTGTTTATAAGGATTTTGTAAAAATCTTTACAAAGCACTTTGTCTTTTTATTTAACAAATTTAACAATTTTATATGATTTAAACATTTGGGGTTTTTTTAGTAAAAAGTTTAAATACTTGAAAAGTGTGCAACTAGTATTACACTGAAAAATATTTGGGGATCAATACATTGCATATGTATGTGATTAAAGTAAAAACTGACAACAGTTAAGATAACAGAAGATGCAATGAAAGAGAAGAACTGTTAAAGAAAAGGAGGGTAGGCCAGGCATAGTGGTTCGCACCTGTAATCCGAATAATTTGGGAGGCTGAGGCAGGAAGACCACATGAGGCTAGGAGTTTGAGACCAGCCTGAGCAACATAGCAAGACCCCATCTCCACTAAAGATAAAATAAAAAATTAGCCAGGTATGGTGGTGCACACCTGTAGCCCCAGCTACTTGTCAGGGTGAGGTGGGAAGATCACTTGAGCCTGAGAGGTTGAAGCTGCAGTGAGCTCTGATTGCTCCACTGTACTACAGCCTGGACAACAGAGTGAGACTCTGTCTAAACAAACAAACAAACAAAACAACAAAAACATGAGAGTGGAATGTCATAGTGCTAGCACTAGTCAACTAACAAAACTAGCAATCTAGGTGTAAACAGCCAATGAGCTGCAGTCAATCTGAATATCCTAGTAAGGGAAGTGTGTATTCCAAATGCCAAATGTAAACACTGAGATGAAAGCTACCAGGGATGAAAGTTAAACATGTGAAATAAATACTCTGAGTTTTCTCCACCCAAACTGTGGAATATCTGAACCATATAACTGCTATTCAAGTTTAAAATAAGAGCTTCTAGAATATTATGTCAGGTTCAGATATTATATAGAGTATATATTCTAGTTTTTGTCATCTATTTCCTACATTTTTCACCTTTATCTTTTCTTTCTCTCACAGGAAAAATACACTTTTTTATTTTTCATTTTTTTGAGATGGAGTCTCGCTCTGTCACCCAGGCTGGAGTGCAGTGGTGCAATTTTGGCTCACTGCAACCTCCACCTGCCGGGTTCAAGCAATTCTCCTGCCTCAGCCTCCCGAGTAGCTGGGACTACAGGCACACACCACCATGCCCAGCTAATTTTTTTTTTTTTTTTTGTATTTTTAGTAGAGACGGGATTTTGCCGTGCTGGCCAGGCTTGTCTCAAACTCCTGACCTTGTGATCTGCCTGCCTTGGCCTCCCAAAGTGCTGGGATTACAGGTGTGAGCCACTGTGTCTGGCCGACACTTTTTAAAATGAGAATTAAAGTAAAACCTAGACACAGGTGAAGGCAGTCAGTAGGGTATATGTCATGAGTGTTAAGACAGACTAACCATCTTTCTTCTTTTAATCCACCTTTGGCTCTTCCTCCTTTATAGCTTCTGATTCCTCATTGCTAACGTTTCATAGTCCCAGCACTAGATAACAGAAAGTAATATATATGTGTTACTGTATTTCAGTTCATCCACATACTGTCTGTCTGCATTTCTGCCCAGAAAGCTACATGCATTTATTCAATCATCAAAAAAAGCCATGGCACCTACTATAGGCAGTAGACTACTATAGACACTGAGTAGATAGAGATAAATAAAAATATTCTCCATCCTCAATGGAATCATAGTATTCTTGCAGAGTGCTAACTTCTTCTGTTTTTTTTTTTTTTTTGAGACAGAGTCTGGCCCCATCCCCCGGGCTGGAGTGCATTGGCGTGATCTCAGATCACTGCAACCTCCACCTACCAGGTGCAAGCGATTATCATGTCTCAGCCTCCCGAGTAGCTGGGATTACAAGCACCTGCCACCATGCCCGGCTGATTTTTGTATATTTAGTACAGATGGAGTTTCGCCATTTTGGCCAGGCTGGTCTCAAACTCTTGACCTCAGGTGACCTGCCTGCCTCGGCCTTCCAAAGTGCTGGGATTAGAGGCCTGAGCCACTGCATCCAGCCCAGAGTGCTAACTTCTAACTGAATGTTAGAACCTAAGTAGAGGAAATCTCAGGAAATGAGAGAGAAAGGCATTTAAGTTAGACTAGAACATATGTTCAGGGAAAGCATTATATATGAAGATATATATATAAGCTAGGTTGTTAGAAATAAATAAGAGTTTTCTCTTTGAAAAAAATTCTCAACAAAGCAGAAGAGCGTGGCAGTTTTACTGTTATTAAAGTATGCATCACCCCTTTTTGACTCTATGCATTACAAATGCTGACTTCTTTATATAATTTCATCTCTCCCACCATATGTGCCCATTAATATTTCAAAATTAAGTAAAAATGCAAATTCCTTTAGATTTGAGGTTTGCTCAACTAGTTAAACTGTGATATTTGTACCGTCATCTTTAATCTGGTAGTCAAAACGTGTAATACATATTCTTTGTAGTGGATTCTGTAGTGTTGCACCAAGATCCTCTCTTCGTGGTCAAGAAAAACTACACACAGCTGCTGGGAATATCTGCTGTTGATGGCCCACAGCTGTGTCTTTCATTATTCGGTTCACTCAGCTGCAGGAAACAGCCTTGTACCTTCTCCTATGGGTGGCCCGCAGTCACGTATTGGCTGAAGGGGAACAGAGGGCCATTTCTTTTATTTAAATTTAGGACAAGTAAAAATATTCTTTATGAGCTGAGCTCCTTTAGACCCATCAAGTGTTAAGGTCGGGTGAGTTCAACACAAATTGGAAGCAGAACAACCAGGATCCAATAAGAAGAATAAAAAGCCCAGGTAAGCTGCAAAAGCAGGCAGTTTGAAACTACCTGCTACTGTTGTGCTTGTGCCTCACCCTCTGCTTATACCTATGTCTATATGGGGAGGTGGATGTTTCTTATCACCAAGTGATGGAAGAGGAAATGGGATGGTGTGGTGTGTTTTTTTTTTGAGACGGAGTCTGGCTCTATCGCCCAAGCTGGAGTGCAGTGGCACAATCTCGGCTCACTCTCTTCCATTGGTCTATGTACCTGTTTTTATTTTAGTACCACACCACTTTAATTGCTATAGCTTTGTAATATAATTTGAAATTAGGGAGTACTATGCCAGCAGCTTTGTTATTTTTTCCTTGAGATTGCTTTATCTATTTGGAGTCTTTCATGGCTCTGTGTAAATTTTAAAACTGTTCATTTTTCTGTGAGTAATATTATTGAAATTTTAATAGGGATTACTTTCAATCTATAGATCACTTTAGGTAGCATAGACATTTTAATTACTCCAATCAATGAACACAAGATACTTTTTCAATTATTTGTGTCTTCTTCAGTTTTTTACATCAGTTTCTTATAGTTTTCAGTGTACAGCTCATTGACCTCCTTGTTAAATTTATCCCTAAGTATTTTATTCATTTTGATGCCACAATAAACAAGATGTCTTTCTTAATTTATTTTTCAGATAGTTTATTATTCGTGTATAGAAACACAACTGAATTTTGGATATTGATTTTGTATCCTAAAACTTTACTGAGCTTATTTATTTTTCACTGATAACACTTTATTTTTCTTTCTCCCCCGCCTTTTTTTTTTGGGTGGTGTCAAAGATAACCTAAAGGATTTTTATGTGTAGATTCGTGTCATTTGCAAAGAGACGGTTTTACTTTTTTCTTTCCTGTTTTGATGACTTTTATTTCTTTTTCTTGCCTAATTGCTCTCCTTAGAACTTCTAGGACAATGTTGAGTAGAGGCGGATGGGAGGGTACTTGTCTTATCTTGTTCATTGTCTTAGAGGAAATGCTTTAAGATTTTCACTGCTGAGTATAACATTAGCTGTGTGTATAACATATATTGCCTTTATTATGTTGAGGTAAATTTCTTCTATATCAGTGTTTTTAGAGTTTTTGCTGAAGGAATGTTGAAATTTGTCAAATGCTTTTTCTGCGTCTCCTGAGATGATCATATCATTTATCCTTCATTTTGTTAATGGGGTATATCACATTTATTGAATTGTATATATCAAAACACCTTTGGATCCTAGAGATAAATGCAATTTAATCAAAGTGAATGATACTTTTAATGTATTGTTGAATTTGGTTTGTTAGCATTTTATTGAGAATTTTTTCATTTATGTGAATCAGGGATATTGATCTATAATGTTATTTTAGTTTTCTTGTTTGGCTTTAGTATTAGGGCAATGCTAGCCTTATAAAATGAGTTTGACTGTGTTGTGTTCTATTTAACTTTTTGAAAGAGTTTGGGGAGACTCAGCGTTAGTTTATTTATTTATTTTTATTTTTATGTTTGCTAGAATTTACCAGTGAAGCCAAGTGGTCCTGGACTTTTCTTTGATGAAAGATTTTTGATTACTGATTCAATCTCCTCACTCATTATTGGTCTGTTCAGATTTTCTCTTTTTTCATCACTTACTCTTGATAGGTTGTAGCTTTCTTAGAATCTATCCATTAATTCTAGGTTATCCAATTTGTTGTCACATGATAGTTCAAAGCAGTCTCCTACGATCCTTTATATTTCTGTGTGATGGTCATAATGTCTCCTCTTTCACTTTTGATTTATTTTGGTATATTTGAGACATGTCTCTTTTTTCTTAATGTAGCCAAAGTTTGTCAATTTTGTCCATTTCAAGAAACCAAGTCTTAGTTTTATTGAACTTTTGTATTGTTTTTCTAGTCTCTATTTTGTTTATGTATTTTTTTATTTTTATTATATCCTTCATTCTGAGGACTTTGTGTTTAGTTTTTTTCTAGTTCCTTGAAGTATTAACTCAGGTTGTTTACATGAGATCTTTCTTGTTTTCCTAATGTAGGCCTTTATCACTATAAATTTGTCTCTTAGAATGTATGAGATGCTTTTCCTGCATCTAATAAGTTTTAGTATATTGTGATTTCAATTTTTATTTGAATCCAAACTTTTTAAAAATAGTCTATTTTGGTTTCTTTGACTCGATGGTTATTCAGAAGTGTATTTGTACATATTTGTCAGTTTTCCAATTTTCCTCATATTCTTGATTACTAATTTCATACAATTGTGGCTGCAATAGATGCTTAAATCATTTCAAAATTCTTATTAAATGTGTTAAGATTTATTTTGTAGCCTAATGTATATTCTATCCTGGAGAATGTTCTTTGTGCACTGGAGAAGGATGTGTATTCTGTTGTTGTGGGATGGAATGTTCTATATATGTCTGTAGGTCCATTTGGTTTAAACTTTGGTTCGAGTCCAATGATTCCTTATTGATTTTTTGTCTGGGTGCTCAATCAATTGTTGAAAGTGGGGTAATGCAGTCATGTACTATCTGTTAGTATTTGCTTTATGTATTTATGTGCTGTAGCATTGGATACATATATATTAATATCTATAATTATTATATCATTTTGTGGAGTTATTCCCTTTATCAATACATAATGACCATCTTTGTCTTTTGTAAAAGATTTTGACAAAGTCTATTTTGACTACTATAAGAATAGCATCACTTGCTTTCTTTTGATTTACATTAGAGTGAAATATCTCTTTCCATATCTCCACTTTCAGTCTACGTGTGTAGTTAAAGCTAAAGTGACTTTCTTTAAGCGGCATATGGTTGAGTATTGGTTTTAGCCATCCGTTCTATGTATTGTGATTAGAGAATTTAATTCACTTTACATTCAACATAATTATTGAGAGGTAAGGACTTACTACTCCCATTTTTTGTTGATTGCTTTTTGTCTGCTTTGTTGATTCTTTGCTTTTTTTTTTTTTTTCCCCTTCCTTACTGTATTTCCTTGTGATTTGACGATTTTCTGTCATGGGATTCTTTGATCCTTTTCTCTTTATCTTGCATTTATCTACCATACGTTTTTGCTGTGTAGATAGCATGAGGCTCACATAAAACATCTTACGTTAGAACAGTATATTTTATACTGATAACAACATTGATCATATACAAAAGCCATGTGTTTTACTCCTCACCACATATTATTTGTTTTTGATGTCATAATTACAACTGTGTATATAATATGTCCATTAACAAATTATTGTAGCTATTGTTATTTTTATAACTTTGTCCTTTAGCCTTTATACTGCAGTTATATGTGATTTATACACCAACATTACAGTATTAGGATATTCTGAATTTGACTATATATTTATTTTTACCAATTCATTTTATACTTCCGTATGTTTTTATATTACTAAGCAGCATTCTTTGGTTTCATCTTAAAGATCTCCCTTCGGCATTTCTTTAAAGGCAGGTCTAGTGGTGATTAATTCCCTCTGATTTTGTTTCACAGGACAATCTATATCTCTCCCTCATTTCTAAAGATAGCTTTGCTGGGTAAATTATTGTTGGTTGGCTGTTATTTTCTGTAAACACTTTGAATATATTATCTCTCTCTCTCCCTGGCCTGTTAAGTTTCTATTGATGTCTACTAAAAGCCTGATAAGATTTCCCTTGCATGTGGTGAAACTCACTTCTCCTGCTTTTTTCAAAACTCTCTGTCTTTGATGTTGACAGTGTTATTATAATATGTCTTGGTGAAGTCTACCTTTAGTTGAACTTGATTGGAGAATTTTTAGCTTCATGTACCTAGATATCCATATGTCTCCCCAGATTTGGCAAGTCTCCAGCCATCATCATTATTATTATTATTATTATTATTATCACTCAAGACAGAGTCTTGCTCTGTTGCCCAGGCTGGAGTGCAATGGTGCAATCTTGGCTCACTCAACCTCCACCTCCCAGGTTCAAGGGATTCTCCTGCCTCAGCCTTCCAAGTAGCTGGGATTACAGGCACCTGCCACTATGGCTGGGTAATTTTTGTATTTTTAGTAGAGACAGGGTTTCACCATGTTGGCCAGGCTGGTCTTGAACTCCTGACCTCAGGTGATCTGCCCACCTTGGCCTCCCAAACTGCTGGGATTACAGGCGTGAGCCACCGCGCCCAGCCCATTATCTTTAAAACAAGTTTATTGCCCTCATTTTGTCTTTTCTCCACTATAATCTCTATAATGTGAATATTAAGTCTATTAATGGTGTTCCATAAAATCTCATAGATGTTTTAAAATCCCTTTTCATTTTTTTTCCATTTTCTCCTATGATTAGACAAGTTCAAATGATCTGTCTTTATATTTGCTGATTCTTCTGCTTGAAGCTCTCTATTGCATTTTTTTTGTTATTTTTTTAAGGTGGTTTATTTTTTTTTTCTTCAACTTTTATTTAAAGTTCCAGGGTACTTGTGCAGGATGTGCAGGTTTGTTACATAGGTAAACGTGTGCCATGGTGGTTTACTGCACATATCAACCCATCACCTAGATATTAAGCCCAGCATGCATTAGCTGTTCTTTCTGATGCTTTCCCTCCTCCAGCATCTCCCAAGAGGACCCAGTTTGTATTGTTCCCCACCCGTGTTCCTATGTTCCCATCATTCAGTTACCACTTATAAGTGAGAATATACTGCATTTTTTATTTTAGTTACTGTATTTTTTAGTTCCAAAATTTCTTTTTGGTTTTTAATGTTTTATATCTCTTGAAATTGTTATTTTTTCTTGTATTGTTTTCCAGATTTTATTATATTGTTTATATGTATCTCATATTAACTGAGCTTCTTTAAACCAATTATTTTGAATTATTCTTAGGGAATTTGTGGAACTCTATTTCTTTGGGTTTGCTTATTAGAATTTTATTTTATTCCTTTGGTAATGTCATGTTTTTCTGATTTCTTACAACTCTTGAAGACTTGCAAAGATGTCTACACGTTCAAATAAATAGTAACCTCTTACAGACCTCATAGATTGCTTTGGTAAGGAAAGACGCTTACCTGTGGGGTGGGAGCCTGGCTGGAGTGTGCTGTGTTACCAGACACAAAGTATGGGGTCATGCAGAGGCTCTCAATCCACGGCGTCACAGTGTCTCATTAACTCAAGCAGCTGGAGTCTGCAACATCTGCATGGTTTTTGGCAGTGAGGGCTGCTTCAGGGGTCTGCAGTGGCTGTAAGGTCTTTTGGGGTCTTCGGTAGCATCTCTGGGATCAGTAATGAGGGGTTAGTGCTACTGGTTGTGGAGACTGGGGACAGTAGTGTATACAGTCTCTGTTGTAGGGGCTGGCTAGCTGTAGGCATGTACATAGCAGCAGGGGTCACTTGTGAGCACATGCATAGCTAGCAGCAGCAGGGTCCTGTGGCTTGCATAGGCTGTTACAGGGACTGGGGCTAGTGGCAAGCAAGTACATGACTGCAAGGGCCATTTCCAGGAACATGTGTGATTGGGAGGGCTGGCAATAGGGGTTAGGCCCGTTATGTGCATAAAGTAGCTCCTGGGGCCGAGGCTAGAAATATGCACATGTGCAGCTGTAAGGGACAGCTATGAACTAGCACATGGTGGTGGGGATTGTTGACAGTGGTTAGATTGGCTGTGTGGACACACAGTGCTGCAGAAATTGGGGCTGGTGATGGGCATGCATGTGTCTGTAGGAGACAGCTTCGTATACCCATACAGAAGTGGGAACTGGGACCACAAGTAAACGTCTAGGCCATTTGCAGACACAAATGCAGTGACCTTGCTAGATTCTGGGGCAAAAGCACACTTGGCAGCACCAGCTGGAGCAGCTCCAGAGAGTGTGGAGGGAGAGGCATGGCTCAGACAGAGAAGGCAAAGAAACTGCAGGGCCCTCCCTGGTAAAGACTGAGTAGTCCACAGAGGCTGTGCTGGCTGTTGGTTTCCTTACCAGTGAAAATTCTTGGTTTCCTCTGTGGCGCAGCTCTTTGTGGTCCATGATGGTGAACCCTGGGGGTTCCTCAGCAGTGAAAGCTGCAGAGGATGCACATAAGCTATGAGGGATTTTGAGGCCCTCAGTGGCAAATGCTGTTGGGATTCTCCGTAGAGTAGACCACTGGAGATAGTCGGGGACCTGCTATGTGGCTGAAACTGATAATCCTTGCCTTTCATCTTTGTTCTTAGCTGTCTTCAGATGTCTCAGCTATTTTAATTTCCCTTGCAATCTGAATAGAGTATAATCAAAGTGGGTCCTTTGGAAAGTATTCCAAAAAGCTAGGGAAATTGGTTACTCATCTTTCTCTCCTTTTCCCTGTGAAGGGAACTCATGGGTTGGGCATTCCCACTCAGTGCTGTGCTGACCTGAGGGATGAGATAATGCAGGGTAAATGAAACTACTTCTTCCTATTTGTTTTGTGCCGCTATTCTCAAATGTGGTTGTCCCACTGTGTTGTTACAGCTTCTTAAATGGACTCCTGAATTCTCTAGGGATATTTTCATTTATGGCTAGATGTCTAATTGTTGACTTTCATCAACAAAAAGGCCCCTAGCACTCACATGAAGGTCTTTCCCTTGGTGGTGACAAAGGCTGGGATCCCCTCTTCTGCTCTCTTGCTGATGTCACTCCTTTTTTTTTTTATTTAGGAAGATAATTTAAAATCTGCAATATCAGAGTTTCCTGTTTGTTGTTTTATAGTCTGCTTTGTTTTGCATTGTTAAAATTTCTGAACCCAGGTAACTACATAGCAATTATGAAACTGAGACTATAGAGCTGATTAGCCTACATTCCTTATGGATTCCATATTAATTAATTTCACACTAAAGAAAACTGATTCATCTTTACCATTGATGCAATCAAGAATTATGCATTTATTTTTTGGAGAGGCTTTGACACAGTCCAAAAAGCCTACAAGAAACTTTAAAAAATAATAATGAAAATATCAAACCATCCTTACCAACAAACACAAGATGATATGTTCATGTTATGGCTATTTATGTGTGTCAACCTGGATATACTATGGAGTCCAGGTATTTGGTCAGTCAACTGGTATGAATGTTGCTGTGGAGGTATTTTTGATGTGATTAACATTTATCTCAGTAGACACTGAATAAAGCAGATTACCCTCCATAATGTGGGTAGTCCCCACAGTTGAAGGTCTTAGAAAAAAAGACTGAGGTCCCCTGAGGAAGAAAATATTCTATTTCCCGACTACTTGCAGACTCAAAATTGCAATATCAGCTGTTTTCTGAGTCCCTAGCCTACCGGCCCACACTGCAAATTTTGGACTTGCCAGCACCCACAGTCATGTGAGCCAATTATTTAAAGTCTCTGGGTCTCTCTTTAATCTCTCTTTCTCTCTTTCTCTCTCCTCTCTCCTGTCTCTCTCTCTCCTTCTGTCTCCAGCCCACCCTCATACAAACGGTTGGTTCTGTTTCTCTAGATAACCCTGACTAATATAGCTCAGTAATAAAGAACAACTCTAGAAAAAATTCCAGAGATGACAATGATCAACTTCTGTCACTGTAACATAATACTACAATTAAGCATGTAGTTTATCAATTAAATTTGAATTATTTATATTTTAGCAAATACTGTGGAGTTGTTTGGTTTTGGTTGCAGGATTTTGTTTGTTTATTTTTTAAAGCACAGTTACATTTTTTAAAACAGGCACTCCAGTATTTTTGTGATGCACTGTCTATGACCATCAGAAATCTATTTCTAGATAATCTGCTTAAGGATTAGAAGGATTAGTCCGTACTTCTTATTAATCAACCCTTCAGCTTTCAATTAATTAAAAACCCGTTTAATTTGAATATACGTGGGTTACTTTTTATCTCTTTAAAAAACAATGAAGAAAAATATTTGTGAAAATGAATCTGGACTTTGTGTTCACAGTGGTTTCTATTTACAGTTGCTTTTAAAATTGAAGGTGATATTGTCATAAAAATGTTAATGTAAATTGGTTAAATTTTTTTAAGTGTTGAGCGTCTTTTAAAAATCTGTGTTTTATTTAGTTTGTGATATGTTACTTGGGTAAGTTATTGCAATGAAAAGGGGTAACTGCATCTTTATACTTCAACTACATTTTTAGAGTAATAATACAAATTACTTATTTTCCAAAAAACACACAAAGAGGTGATTTCCCTCCAGGGAGCTTGAATTACTGTTGATGTAGATCAGTGACAGTCTGTTGGGACATGCCTGGTCCTTGATTCTTGATTCTGAGTGTTTGGAAACAGGAGCAAGACTTACTTTTGAGTATCTCTTTCCTAACTTTAGATATATAATTATGTGTTAAATTGGTCAAAGCCCAGATGTCAGACATATATCAAATGGCCAAATATCAAGATTGGGCATCTGTGTCCCACTAAAGCAGTATCATTTGCCAACCATGCTTCTTGGGTTTTAAGAAGATGCTTGCCATTTTATCAACAGTCACTGCTGAGATAATGCAGTAGAACAAGTTATACGAGAACCTGAAGGAGCTATGGGAAGCGATATAATTGTTTTCCCTCAAAAAGCCAATTTCCTTTTACAACAAAAAGATAAGTGTTGCTTTCCATGATTTCAGTAATTCGGTAACACACCAAATAACTGACTGGTTAACAACTGGTTATTAACAATTAAAGTGCTTGACCTAAAATTTTGATTGAAATGTTGACATTTTCATGGTTTCAGGGAAAATTGGGATTAAATTAAAGCAGCACACAAACCATAATAAAACTTTTTTTCAAATGCATTCCACATCTCTGCTCCTAGTGCCTGCCTGTGGAAGTGTATGAGTAAAGTGTGCATGGTAGACTAGGTAAATGATGCCTAAGATCTGGGATAGCATTGCCATAGAGCTTCATAGTCTAACTCTCACCAGTTCCACAAAAGGCACAGAAGAGTAAGCCAAAGAGCATGCATCTGTAAGTCCTTCTAAATCAGAAACTCGCTATCTCAGAGATAACAATCTGTCCTTCTTGCCTATGAAGTACATCCTTCGGAGCTAGAGAAAGGTGGAACATGGCCCAAAGGTATAACTCTCTTAGAATTCAAAATACATTTATTTAATGCAACTTTCAATCAACTCCTCAAGGAAGGTGAAATGAACTCATTCTATAAGTGGACATACTAAACAAGGTTCTCAATCATCTCTAAACCCAATGGGTCTGACTAGATTAGGGGTGGTAGGGGGAAAAAAGGTAAATGGAGGAAGTACTTTACTAATTCTGTGCAAGGTATCATACTCAGTAATTTTATTTGCCTCATTTCATTTTCAGGCAAAAAATTCTGAAGTTTATATATTATCTTTATGATGCAAATAAAATGACAAATTTTGGAGAGTTTAAATATTTTGCCTATAGTTACAACATGTATCTAGAATTCACATGCATGCATATTTTACCCAACATCCATGTTCTTTCCACGGTACTATAAAGTCTTTCTGTATGACCAGTCAACTCATATACAACATAAGTGGAAAGATTAAGCTTTTCTGAAAAGTCGAAGGACATTGTTAAATATTGGAAGTAACAACATTAAGGACATTGAATGTTGTCCTGCATTGAATGAGGCCATAATTATGTACATCTCTTTTAATGTCTTTCTAGTGACCATAAATTATAATACTATTTTAGGGTATTGTAATAGAAGTTCTAGGTATCCATAAAAATTATAGTTCTTGTCTTCTTGAAAGTACATGGGAAAATTAAAATTTCCTAATTTCCTGAAATTGGGATGATTAAATATCTAATATTTTGTCAATAGAATACATGAGAAGAAGTGGCCTGCCACTTCCATTGATATGGACAGGAGACAGAGAAACAATGGGTAGAAGAGAGTAGTCCCCTGAGAAAGGACCCACCTTCAAGCCTGGAGACCCACGGCCCTACATAGGGACAGGTGTTTCTGTTTTATGCCCCACAGTTGCCTTTTGTCCACCTTGCCCCCTATCCTGTACCCATATAAACTCTGAACCCCAGGTTCCAGAGGCAGATGAGCAGACAAAGAGACAAGGAGGCATGCAGATAAAGGGCAGAATGATGTGACAGAGAAAGAGAGAGGAGGAGGAACATCTGAATGCTGAGAGGAATTCAGCTGGGGGTGGTGGGAGAGGAGTTTGACTGTTAGACGGCCAGGCTCCAGAAGAAGATCATCTCCCCACTCCATCACCATTTCTGGCTCCCCATCCATGCTGCCAAGAGCCACCTCCACCACTCAATAAAACCCCCGTATCCATCCTTTCAGTCCGTGTGTGAACAAATTCCTCCAGGACGCTGGACAAGAGCTCAGGATACAGAAGGCTGTCACACTGGCCCTCTGCCCTTGCAGAAAGGCAGAGCGTCCACTGAACTGGTTAACACTCAAGCCATCCATGGACTGCAGGCACACTGTAACACATGCCCACTTAGGCTCCTGCACCTGTTCCTCTGTATGTTCCCCTTCTCGTCAGGGCTTTGAGCAGCAGCAGCAGTGACCAAACAGGTAGGCCACACCCCCGCCACCCAACCTGTGAGGGGGATCAGGGAATTTACCTGTTTCACCAGGCCAAAGCATTTAATTGACAATATTTGATTTTTCAGCTTTCTCTTTCTGTGTCACAGTGAACGTCACGGCACATGTGTGTGATTGCATCATAAAATGGCATAGGGTGATGTGTGGACACAAACCCACTACCAACTTGTGTTGAAAATATAAAGCTTAATATAGTTTAAAATAAAGTTTAATTGTGTTAAGCTATGAAGAAGTTTGATATTTAGTTACTGCAGCATAGTCTAGCTTCTCCTGATTGATGAACTTAAAATGAATATATTTCTCATTCATTATTCCTTCCTCACAAAGTAGAGAAGTACATTAAATAGCTTATATGGGTAAAACATCAGAAGGAAGAAAATGTTCCCATGATCATTATTGCATTTCATCCTTCCTACAACCTATATTTCATCATCTCATTTTGAAGAAGAGGGTGTTCAGATTCACGGGGGCAAAGGAATTTGTTCTGTACTGCACAGCAATTACCTAGAGTCTGGATGTGAATGCGGATAACTTAGCTTTTAGCCCAGGATTTCTTTCTTTTGTCCTTGGCCATTCCCAGTTCTTAGAGCCAAATCCAATAAATGTGTTTTAGATCTAAATGGACTCTTTTAGTAGGTTTTTCCGTTGCTTTTGACATTATTGATGTTGTCCTCCTCAAAATTCTCTATTCTCTTGACTTCTGTGACACTACCTTTATTTAAATTCACTCTTTTATCTTTCTTTGCTTCCTTCATGGACTTGACTTCCTCTGCCTGTCTCCTAAATATTCATATTTTTATGTGTTCACAGCTAATTTCTGTCCTTTTTTCTAGCATCTCCAACTGGGTGATCTCATTCACTCTTATGATTATAATTCTCAGTTTTATGCTAATGACTTTGTAATTTATAGGCAGGTACAATATTTTTTTTCTGAAATTCAAAGCTCTATAGTCAGTGCCACAGAGGCATCTCTTTTCGAACATCCCAAGGCCACTCAAATCCATTATACCCAAAATAAATGCACCTTCCTTTCCACCTGCAAGTTACATGGTTCCCCGTATTTCAAATAATGTCATTATCATTCACTTAGTCATTTAATCCTGAAGCTTGGATACCACTCAAAACCCATTCATCTTCTTCATCACAACCCAGCCTGTCAAACTGTAAAATATAGTGATTATAACTTCTGGATATTGTAGGGGTTTTGTGCCCATTTTCTTCCTTCTGCCAAAATTCCAGATTAGTTTTGTTGTTGTTTGGTCCTTTCCATTGAACTTCTATACAGACAATAACTAGGCATTGTGCAGCCATCTCCAGCTTTATTTCTCATTCAATCACATTGCTAACAGTGTGCTGTCCTTAGAGCATCTTTTAATCAATTTTATTGAAGTATAGTTAATATAAAATAAAATTCACACACATTTAAAAAGTGTTTAATATGTCTTAATAAATGTAGTTGCCCATTGTATTCACCACCTTGGGCTGCCATAACAAAAGTATCATAGGCTGGGTGGCTTAAATGACAAATATTTATTTTCACACAGTTCTGGAGGCTAGAAATCTAAGATCGAGGTTCAGTTTTCAGTGAAGTCTTTGTTCCTCATTTGCAGACAGCCACCTTCTCTCTGTGTCCTTATGAGAGAGAGACAGAGACAGAGACAGAGAGAGACACAGAGAGAAATAAGAACCTGATGCCTCTTTATAAGTATACTAATCCTACAGAATGAAGGCCACATCCTTATGATTTCATTTAGCTTTAATTACTTCCATAGAGGCCAGATTTCCAAATACAGTAATGTTTTGGGTTAGAGCTTCAACTTATGAGTTCTGGGGGTACACAGTTCGGTCCATAAAACCCATGTTTTCACCACTGTAGTCAAGATATGTAACATTTGTTTAACCATGAAAATAAATTGTGCATCTCTTCACTTTCAACATACTCAGTGTCACAAAAAACAAATGAGACAAAACTAAACTAGTAAACCACTTGTCTGCTTTTGGTTCCTATATTACTTTGTCTTTTTGAGAGTCCATATAAGTGAATCATACAGTGTTTATGCTTTGTGTTTTGCTTCCTTCACTCTGCATAATGTTTCTGAGGTTTATTTGTTTTGTCTTGGCAATCAGTATTTCTTTCCTTTATATTGCTGAGTAGTATTTCATTATATGGAAACACCATGATATCCTTATGCATTCATCTGTTGACTGAAATATGGGTTGTTTTTACCTTATGGCAAAAGTGTATGTTGAAATTATATGTTCAATTATGGTCTGATTACCTTGTATATGTTAGTTTTTATATTTTATTAGTGGGCATCTATAGAAAGAGCAAGGTATTTAACTTCTGAAGGAGTGAATGGCACTTTATCTAAGCTAAAAATCTTACCAAGTCTTAATTTTAGGCTTTCTTTATGCGGAGAATACATCTTACTTGTCTGTGTGATCTTTACTCTGAAGTCACAGCCTTTATTGTATCCTAAATATTGCCATATTGGAAATAAGTTAATACAGGATCCTGTCCACTCTGCCAGGGACAGGATCCCATGTCCTTTCCCATTACCCTTCTCTAAGCACTGCCTGATGACTAATATCTCCCCTGCTTTCAAATCTACAGAAGTTTACTCTGGTAAGGCTCAGGTAATCCATTCTGTACATACACAATATAGCCCTCAGCAACAAACATGGGGGAGACCCCATATGGATTTCTGGGGCCCTCTTTGGTTCACCACTGTCTTAGTCAGTTTGGGCTGCTATAAAAAATTAAAATGTCATAGACTGGTTGGCTTATAAACATCAGAAATTTATTTCTCACAGTTTTGCAGGCTGGGAAGTTCAAGATCAAGGTACTGGCAGATTATGTGTTTATTGAAGGCTCTTTTCCAGGTTGTAGACTGCTGACTTTTCTTTGTATCCCGACATGGCAGGGAAAAATAATGGTCAGAGGCTCTCTAAGATCTCTTATGTAAGGACACCAATCCCATTCATGAGGTCTTTACCTTAATAATTTAATTATCTCCCAAAGGCCCGACCTCCTAATACCATCACATTGGGAGTTAGGATTTCAACATACCAATTTTTGGGGGGAGTGTTATGATCTGACTGTTGTCCCCCAAAATTCAAATGTTGGAATACAATGCTCAAAGTGCTAAGATTAAGAGAAGAAACCTTGTGGGAAGTGATTAAGTGCCCTTATAAAAGAGGTTGAAGGGAGCTTCATTGACCCTTCTGCTGTGTAAGCCCACATAGAACGTGTCATCAATGAGGAACAGGCCCTCGCCAACACCAAACTTTTCGGTGCCTTGATCTTCAACTTCCCAAACTCCAGAAATATGAGAAATAAATTCCTGTTGTTTATAAACCAGCGAGTCTAAGGTATTTATGTTATAGTAGCAGAAACAGACTAATACGGGAGGACACAAATGTTCAGTCTGTAACATACACCTCTCAGACTCAGCTGCCCCATCTCTGATCTCCACGTTCTCAGCTCAGAATACAGCAGTGTCCTGCTCAGACATTATCCCTATATGATGAGAAATTTCCCATAGATAGATATCTAAGCAATGGGTCTCACCTGTGAGCTCCCCGTCTCTTAGCGATCTCATGGTGCACTGCATATTGCCGGAGCCTGAAATACATCATGTATCTTTTCCAGTTTTAGTTTTAATGGTGCAGTTGATGGCTAGCCTGGAAAATTTTACTACCTGAAACATATAATATAATTATATATATATTATTTCATAATATTATTTTATTTTTTATTTTTATTTTATTTTATTATTATTATTATTATTATTATTATTATTTTGAGACGGAGTCTTGCTCTGTCACCCAGGCTGGAGTGCAGTGGTGCGATCTCGGCTCACTGCAAGCTCCGCCTCCCCGGTTCACGCCATTTTCCTGCCTCAGCCTCCCAAGTAGCTGGGACTACAGGTGCCCGCCAACACGCCCGGCTGATTTTTTGTTTTTTGTTTTTAGTAGAGACGGGCTTTCACCGTATTAGCCAGGATGATCTCGATCTCCTGACCTCGTGATCCACCCGCCTCGGCCTCCCAAAGTGCTGGGATTACAGGCGTGAGCCACCACGCCCAGCCCATAATATTATTTTAGATATATTATGTCCAAGCTAAAAATCCCTTAAATTTTATGTATCAAAAACAGCTCGGTATGTTTTTGTTTTTCAAGGGCCTCAATGTTTGACTCCTTGGCTCTATTCTTTAGCCTCTTCTAATCTCCATTTCATGCCTGAAATTTTAAATTGCTTACGAAGACCATGATGCTGCTAGGTCCCATCCATTCCAACACACATTTTATTGTTTGACAACATAATTAATTCCTTGGAAATTGGTTATGATCCCCAAAATGTTTCTGACATCACTTAGATATGTTTACCCAGTGTTTGACAATAGGCTACTGTGAGCACATACAACAACTGAGTTAACAAGAGTTTTATGAATCTCTCCAGGTGTGGGAATATAATCTTTTAAATCTTTTAAGCAGTAAACAATCAAATGTCAGCAGTATCTTTCAGATAAACAAATGATGGCAAGTTCTCCTTTGTTCAAGGTGGGGAGCATGCCTGTTCCTTTGATTGTAATGAATCAAGTATAAGAAAAGCCATTTTAAAAATGTTCTTATGAAATACTAGCACTAAATTGGAGGTCAGAAAAAAGTAATGATCAAATATGTTAAAAATAATAAACTTGGCTGGGCACAGTGGCTCTCGCCTGTAAATCCCAGCACTTTGGGAGGCTCAGGTGAAATGATCGCTTTAGTCCAGGAGCTCAAGACCCAGCCTGGGCAACATGGTGGGGCCCATCTCTACAATTAATTTAAAAATTAGCCAGGCATGTTGATGCATGCCAGTAGTCCTAGCTACCCAGGAGATTGAGGTCGAAGGATCACTTGAGCCCAGGAGGTGGAAGGTGCAGTGAACTGTGATCGCACCACTGAACTCCAGCCTGGGGGACAGTGAGACCCTGTCACAAAATAATAATAATAATAAACTTAGAAGTACACACTTTTAAAGCCTTTAGCATATAAAACTTTGTACATTTCATTCATGTATCTATCAAATATTTATGAATCACCTTTAACATATATAGTACTTACCAGGGATACCCAAAGATGACTGAGGCATTCTTCCCCAAGAATGTCTTTTTAAATTGTTTCCTGAACATATCGTAAGAAAAAACTCTTCTCCTAAATTGAAAAGTCCAAAAGTAAATTCCTTGAAAGACAATCACTTATGGGCGGGAGCAGTAGCTCACACCTGTAATCCCAGCACTTTGAGAGGTTGAGGCGGGCCGATCACAAGGTCAGGAGATCGAGACCACCCTGGCTAACACGTTGAAACTCTGTCTCTACTAAAAATACAAAAAATTAGCCAAGTGTGGTAGTGCACGCCTGTAGTCCCAGCTACTCAGGAGGCTGAGGCAGGAGAATCGCTTGAACTCGGGAGGCAGAAGTTGCAGTGAGCCGATCTCGCGCCACTGCACTCCAGCCTGGGCGACAGAGTGAGACTCTGTCTCAAAAAAAGAGGAAGGCAATCACGTATGTGTATCTCTCATCAGCTTAGCAAAGAGATGAAATGAGAAATGCTAGATTTGTCATCATGGAAGGGAGCCACTTAAGGTAATTTAATAAGATTTTGCTACCACAAAAGCTTAATGATTTAACCAAAAATAACAACAAATAGCATTTGGTTAAAATTTTTCCTTCAAACCATTTTAGTATTCATGTTATTTATGCCTGAAAAATATTTACACTGGACAGACCATGAGTTATTATTCCTGTTTTATGGACAGAAAATTTTGGATTTTGTGAGTATAGGCAATGTCAGCACCTTATCTGTATGTCCTTAGCACTTACCATTTTTATATACATTCATGGTTTTCTGCTTCCAGAACTTGTGACATTTGACTGAGAGTTTTGCAATTGGAGCAGGCTCACCTCCATGGAGCAGCCCAGAAATGATAGGGATTAATACTTCTAGAGCATTCCCTGCTCTGTGATGGACAGGAGTTGGTAGAGAAATGCTCCGGCTTCTTCACTCTTCCTGGGAGACATGAGGTTTTAATTGTCCTTTGCAAACTCCCAAAGATCTCAAGTGGGACTGAACCCTGTTTGCCTACACTGTGACCGGCATTGACTTCCTATTTCCCTACTAAGATATCTAGGATGATTCAAAAAAAAAAAAAGAAGAAAAGAAAAACTTGCTCACAAATTTTTGTCACAGGTCAGCTTGCCGAGGAAACAACTTATGAAAATCAGTAACTACCTTAAATTCACATAGTAATAATTCATGGATGTGGGACAAGAATACATGTCCTACCCACGCATTTTAGTTTTTAGCCCTAAGAATTGAACTCAGATAAAGGTCTTCTTACCAAATTGTCCTTTTCTGTCATCCTCTTATCAAGTGGTTCTTCACTTTACAAATAAAGTGTGGGCATTTAGCTTACATAATTTGACCTCCAGTTCAGCTCTATTTCTCTGTAATATGTGCTAATTAACTATTATTTTTGAAAGACAGTGTAAGTTAATGGAAAAATCAGGGTTTTGAAGTAAGAAAGAACTGAGTTTAAATCTTTTTTCCACCTCTTATTTGCTGTGAATATTAATTTACTATTCTGGTTTTTAAACAAAAGTTTCAGGAGCCTCTTCTATTACATGATGCAAATAATAACAGTATCAAAGTCATAGGATCTTGGTATGAATTAGATGAAATAATGCACATGAAACAACATGGCTTTGTTGGCACTAAATATGTGGAACCTTTTGTTCTGATGATGATTTCTTCTTTGAGAGTAAGAAAAAAAGTATTTTTCATTCAGTTTTGTATTAGTGGCGAATGAATGCTTAGAATAAAATCAAGAGCTGGATTTATTGATCTCTTTGAGTAAAAAGGCAAACTTAAGACTTCTTATATGAAGGAAGTGACTCTGAGTTTTTTAATGCACAGGTAAAAGCTTCAGCAGAACAGAAACCCTCTTACAAACTTTGGGAAATCTGGCTATAGAGCCATCAATTCACAGGCCCAAAGACACTTAGAGAGCAGATAACCATATCTATTTATACCAGTTGGTTTCCCACCGATACTCTCTCTGGCCTCAGGTGACAACATATGAAAGTTGAGCTTATCTGGAAGGCGTTAAATTACTTTTGTTTAAAAAACAGAATAACAATGTGATTCTGTCTAAGCAGGATTATTTATTCCTAAGACTCCATAATGTGCTTCTATGAATAGCCAAGCCTTATAACTTTTGGCAATGCCAGTATAATAGCTATCCACCACTAGGTGACTTCAAGGTTTAAGGTCCTTTATATATTTTATATAAGTTCTTACAATGTTGATGTAATGTGGGTAGGAAAAAAAAAACAAACTTCGAGTTTGTTAAATTACTTTTTCAAGGTCAAACAGCAAATGCTTGACAACAAAGTTTGTTTTAATCCTGCTCTGTGTGATTTTAAAAAGTGCTATGGTGGAAAAATATGATGGGGAATGAAACTTACTTGAGGATTCTGAGAAGTCTTCAAAGAAACATTGATTTTGAGTCTATAATATTGTGTGTTTTGAGTTCGTACTACAAGCCTGGTACCTTCAAACTGTTTTATGTACATCAGCTCTTTCATTTCTTTTAATAAACATGCGTATTGAAGGAACAATGCCATTTTTAGACCACTAAGATATAAATTAGAGGCAAAGAGAAATTAAATGACTTTGCCAGGGTCTTACAGCCAGTAAGTGGTACAGAATTTGGGCCTGAGCAATCTAGCTCAGAATCCAGTAGGCTATGCTAAACTCACTTTTAACAACAAGAGGATGAATTCATGATATGTCTATCATGAAGAAGCAAAAGGAAAGAGGAGATTCTTTTTTTGGGAGAGGGGGAGTGGGGAAGGAGTTTTGCTCTTCTTGCCAAGGCTGGAGAGTAATGGCGCGATCTCAGCTCACTGAAACCACTGCCTTCCAGGTTTAAGCGATTCTCCTGCCTCAGCCTCCCAAGTACCTGGGATTACAGGTGCCCACCACCACACCCAGCTAATTTTTTGTATTTTTAGTGGAGACAGGTCACTATATTGGCCAGGCTGGTCTCGAACTCTTGACCTCAGGTGATCCACCCACCTTGGCCTCCCAAAGTGCTGGGATTACAGGCATGACCCACCGCGCCTGGCCCAGAAAGAGGAGATTCTAAGGAAAGGGAGCAGCATATGCTGCAAGTGAAGGAGTCCTCAACATAAATAGTGGTGTTTCCAAACCATGTTCTATCATGCACTGTGGGCTAAATTACCATTACATTTTGATGGATACATTCAAGAAACAGCTAAATACACTGAAAGTAGCTACTTATTTGAAAGCAGCATCCTTGTGGTTTCAAGAGGAACCACAATTTCTAAAAAGCCTGAATTATATCATGTGCATCTGGAAGGTTTAAAAGTACAAAAAAGAAAAAGAGAAGAAAATGGCATCCTATCTATAACAGATTGCAAGAACTGGCCCTTTAAGTTTATGGAAAACTGATTACTTAGACCCTGGCTTATTTGACCTACGTATTGATTTGCATCTCATTCAAAACCTCTGTCTCACATTTTTTACTTTTCTTTTCTTTTTTCTTCTTTTTGTTTTTTTTTTTTTGACAGGGTCTCCCCTGTTTTCCCAGGCTGGAGTGCAGTGGTGTAATCATGATCATAGCTCACTCCAACCTTGAATTCCTGGGCTCAGTGATGCTCCTGCCTCAGCTTCTGAGTAGCTGAAACTACAGAAATGCACTGTCAAGACCAATTAATTTCTTGTTAAAATATTTTTTAGTAGAGACAAAGTCTTGCTATGTTGCCCAGGCTGGCCTCGAATTCCTGGTCTCAAGTGATCCTCCCACTTCAGCCTCCTGAAGTGCTGAGAAAACAGGTGTGAATCACTGTACCTGCCCTGCATGACTTTCTTAATTTCTCTCTTTATTTCCTTTCTCCCTCTTCTTTCTTTCTTTCCTAAAGAACCTACTTAGACCCAACGTAGAAAATATAGCACACATCCTATCTTTCACATTTATGTATCTGTACTATGTTGAAGTTTCAAATAGCCAGTTTTCTTTAAAACTGAATTTAAAACATAGGGTTCAATTTTTTCCATTTTGAGAATGCATGATCTTTTTCTTCTAATCTCTACTTGTCTTTAACCAATGGCCTGAAATACTATCTTTCATTCCATCATCTCCTGTGGACTGACTGCTTAGGAATTCAATACCATTCTTGACTTCAACCTTATATCATTATCAATCACTATGAAATAAATGACGCCAATAGTTAACAGCTTGAAACCACAACCATTTTACTATATTTCATGATTTGGGGATCTGGCAAGAACAAAAGCCATGACACTTAAAAGGTGAAAAAGAAAGTGTGTGTCTATAAACTCATATAGATATATATGTATATATATAAACACACAGATATAACAGCTAAATATTGTGAATTTAATGTATGCAAAATGTTGTTCTAACACACTGAATTATTTATGAACAGATGGAGAACTCAAACACAGGTATATGTGAATAAATCAAACACAGAGTACATACATACATATACATGTGTGTATTTTTATATTGCACTACCTTGCTTAACATATATTTATGCATTATAAGAACCATTATATAAAATGCTGTATGTTATATAAATATATCTGTAGTAATTATGATAAAAGTATTGCAGAAGTACACACATGCTCACATACAACATTTGGTACAGAAATACTATAATAAATAAGAAAAAAAATTACTGCTTCCCAAGAATGGCTCTATATAGTTTTGAAATATATAAAAATAGACTATTAACAGTGAGATCATAAGAATGATGTGGGTAAAAAGTATCAATATATTTTTACATTGTTCTTCCTTAGTGAATTTACAACCTTTGTGCACATGAATGTTTCTATTTGACTAAATGAATATTTTTTTCTCACTTCTTAATCTGTGTCTGTTCTAGGTTAGTATCATCACCCAGGAATATGACACATGGTTTTTAACATGCACCAGTATTCTTATATGTCTGCCTCATAAAAACTTCATAGTGTTTAAGTACCTAAAAGGAAATGAGGAAAATTGGAAAAATTGCTTACACCTATAAATCACCCAGTGTAGGCTAGAGTATGGTAGGCACTTTACCCAAATCATCTGATTAAATCAACCATGTAGTTTAATAAGACAGATATTTTTAGTCTCCATATTGATATGATAGGTAGACTCATGTCCTTTCTCCAAAGATGTCCACACACGAATCCACAGACCCTATGAATATGTTATCTTACATGGAAAAAGTAATTTTTCAGATGTGATTAAGGTTGTAGACTGATATGGTTTGGATCTGTGTGTCTCCACACAAATCTCATGTTGAATTCTAATCCCCAGTGTTGGAGGTGGGGCCTTGTAGGAGGTTATTGGATCTTGGAGGCAGATTTCCCCCTTTGGTGCTGTTCTTATGATAGAGTTCTCATGAGATCTGTTTGTTTAAAAGTGTCTGGCACTCCTTCCTCTTCTTTTCCTTTTATTCTGGCTATGTAAGACGTGCCTGCTTCCCCTTTGTCTTCTACCATGATTCTAAGTTTCCTGAGGCTTTCCCAGCCATGCTTCCTGTACAGCTTGTAGAACTGTGAGCCAATTAAACCTCTTCCCTTTATAAATCATCCAGTCTCAGGTATATCCTTATAGCAGTGCAAGAATGGAATAATATGTAGACTATGAGATGAGAAGATTATTTTGAGTGAGATTTCTAATTACACAGGTCCATGAAAGAAGGGAACCATTCTCAGCCATGATCAGAGAACAATATAAGTATAAAATAATGATAAGGAAAATGCCGTTACTGATCTCAAAGATAGAGCAAGGGAGACAGGAAAAATAAGTGTAGATGGGCTTTAGAAGATAGAATGGACAAGAAAAAAAATTATCTCCCAGGGCCTCCAATAATAAATGTAGTTCTGCCAACATGCTGATTTTAGTCCAGTGAAACCTGCATCTGACTTCTGGCCTGAAGAACCATACTGTAGTAAATTTGTGATGTTTTAAGCCAGTAAGTTTTTGGTAATTCATTACAGGAGCAATAAAAATACTACTGAGAATGAGACAGAGGGTCAAAGAAGGACACACACACATATACACACATCCCAGACTTAGACATATGAGAGTCTTACTGTAGGCCCCATAATCTCTTCATCACTCCAACTCGTGTTGAGAGACTATATTTTCTCTAGAAGCCTCTCTTTTGTGGATCAAGGACAGATTTTATGGCACTAGAAGACATAATTCCTGCAGCCGACAGGAAAATACCTTCACAGAGTAAAGATATAATATTATGACATCAGATTTTATGGAAGGTGAGTATAAGAGACATCATTTTGAAGAGCATGTCTGTATCTTCTTTAAACTTGTAGTAGAATATATTGTCTATTAAGCCTGATGATGCCAGTTATATTAGGACCTGACTGATAAACACTGTCTTGCTGTTTCCTGAGAGAAGACATTGTGCTAACTGAATTAACTAATAGTACCACAAAACGGCAACCCCATACTGCATTGTGTTTCACATTACCCTTGTTTCTCAGTCCAAAAAAATGAAGAAAAACATTCACAATTTTAAAATATGAGAACCTAAGAATGAATATTAAACAAAATGAATTCTAATAATTAAATCTAATTTCATAGGCTTGATCAAAATTATATCACTGCTTTGTATTAGTATTTTTGTTCTATTTTGAATTTCTCTGTTTTGTGGTTTCTTTGATGTTGAATGCTAACTCAACCATTGTGGATATGTACATATATATGTATCCATGTATATACATAGCCAGTTTTCAAATAATTATATTACATGCACTATAACAATATATGTCACTATGTAATATAAAATTATATTTTGAATGTATTCAATAATAAAACATAATTCAAAATAAATTTTGTGTGATGCCATAGTATATGTGTATGCCTGTGAGCACTTATCCTCTCCCATCTCTCGCCACACACGCATTACATTTAGGCTTACATAGTATTGGAGTTACTGGGTATGACAGAGATTTTTATTTCCAGTGGTGACTTTGGATATTTAGTAGCAATTTTCAAACATGCTATATAGAAAAAGATTCAGAGGCTCCTTGTTCATGGCAACATACAGGCATAATAAGGGATGCTGTGGTCATGGTAGGGGGAAATTGCTGGAAGTAAACATCTCATTTGCCAACTCTAATATAACAATACACATATATTTCTATATTCTGTGGGTTCGAGTGGGTGTATAAGTGTAGTTATTTTATTTCAGGAAGTGATCCTAGGGATTAGGAGTGAGGAATTAGATAGGGTAAAGAGGGAAGAACAAAAAGCCAGTCTAAGGGTGTATTATAAAACTAGTCCTCATTATGGGCATCTGAGCTTCTACATCTCTAAGAATATCTAAGGATCCATGTGGAATGCGTCTCTGAGTTGTGTGAGCAGGGGACAAAATTAAGAGGTGTCATCTGCTGGGCGTGGTGTCTCATGCCTGTAATCCCAGCACTTTGGGAGGCCGAGGCGGGCAGATCATGCGGTCGGGAGATGGAGACCATCCTGGCTAACAAGGTAACAAGGTGAAACCCCGTCTCTACTAAAAATACAAAAAATTAGCGGGGCGTGGTGGTGCGCGCCTGTAGTCCCAGCTACTCAGGAGGCTGAGGCAGGAGAATGGCGTGAACCCGGGAGGCGGAGCTTGCAGTGAGCCGAGATTGCGCCACTGCACCCCAGCCTGGGCGACAGAGCGAGGCTTGGAAAAAAAAAAAAAAAGAGGTATTATCTACTGTTTTGTGTTGTTGTTTAATCCTATGAGTTAAGGATTGACCATGGGATGTAAATCCCTTCCTTGTCCAGTTTCGTACTGCATGGGAATAGATACCTCCAGACATCCCATCCTGTGGCATCAAAGAAACCCTAAGACAGCAAGAGAGAGAAATGTGGCTCAGCTGAGACAAGCTATTCTAAATGTTTTTCTAGAAAACTTGTCATTGCAGCAATAGCTGGAATGAAAGATGGGGTATGAGAGGTGGCAGAAACATATATATGTAGATACAACATTCATATGCAAACCCAGCCTTTTTCAAGAAATGATTTGCCTGACATTTTAAAGTGCGTATGTGAACATCCCAGCACATTTACGCACGAAGGCAAATAATTTCTGTGAATGATTTTTCATGGCTTAAACCAAGAGTGAGCAAACATTTTAGACAATACTTTAATTTAAAATGTATAATTACATTAGCATTATCTAGGGGCATCTTAGTACACTAAAGCAAATTGGACACATACATGGATTAACACTAATATAAGGGCCACGTTCAGAGTTAGAACTCTAAATTCTCTATGGCAGGAGTCTGTAAAAGGCCAAATTATAAATATTTTAGACTTTGCAGGCAATGAAGTTTGTGTTGCTGCTTCTCAGCTCTGCCATCGCAGGAAAAAAGCAGCCATAGACAATACATAGACAAATGGGTGTGACTATCTTTCAATAAAGTTTTATTTACAAGAGCATGTGGTAATTTGCTGAATCTTGGTTTAAATAACAGAACAACATAATGTTTGTAATATAAGGTTTCCAAAAAAGTACATGTTCCGGTTTTTTTTTAAATTAGATAATAAGATGCTTGGAAAATAGAGACAATGAACAGGAATTGCCAGGCACCATCTGAGCATGAGGTATTAAATCCTTTAAAGTCAATGTAGAAAGATAAGAGGTCATATGTTGAGAGTATAGGAAATAGCTCTAAGTTAGAATCAGGAAACCTGACTTCTAATCTTTTGTTTCCTACTTCATCTCTATGATTTTAGGAAAAAACACTTAAGTTGTCTGTACTTAAATTTCATCACTTGTAAAATGGAGACAATATTAGAAACTTCACAAAATTGTTGTGAAAGTTAAATGCAACCATGTGGAAATGCATCAGCTCTGTGCCTGCCATATATTAGGCATTCAATAAATACATGTAAAATCTCAACCAGATATAGCTTGCACAGGAGGTGCGAACATTCTAGTCACTCTCATCACTGAGAATAATCACTGTGCCTACATAATCTGTGTGGATCTGCAGCAATTAAGAAATTTTGTCTAAAATCACACATCAGCTGTGGTACTGTCAGCAACAGCAGCTCTTGCTTGGGGTAAGGTTCTAACAGAGGCCTTACAAAGGAATACCTGGGCAGAAATTCAAGTACTCCCATGACACCAGCTGATTTGTGATGCTTCTCTGAAATGTGGAATAGTATGATTCTGAATCCCACTGCTGATTGCTGTTAGAAAATTTAACAATATTAAACTTTTTGACTTTTAATAAGTAACTTTATGAAGCAGAAGTTACCTTAAGTGCTTTCAAAGCAGAAATATTAGCAAGCAATTCATTTTGGCAAGTAAGAGCATGGCATTTCCCCTCCTCTAAGATTACTGCCTAATGGATCTGCTTCCCTGAGAGACAAGTAACTATGTGATTCACTCGAAATGGACCCACATCCTGGGAAAAAGCCTTTCCAGGAATACATCACTAAAAGATGGGGAGGCCTTATCAATTTGTTCAATAGAGTCAGCTTAGTGGGTTAGGCAGGACTTCCTTTAGAATGGGTTTTGCTTTAATATCGTGGAGGGAGACTTCACAATTGCACCATTCACTTACCAAGGATCAATAAGCTTCATTCTAAAAACTCTTTCATCAACAGCAGGGAGGGGAATCTCCCTACCATTGCTTTCCTTCTTGGCTGCTGTTTTGGAGTGCCTGCTGTTGCAAGGAATGGTATAAGCCCCTCTCAGAAGTGAATGGAATTCAGCATGAAATCACTCTTCTCACAACATCACTTTGAGAAGATATCTCCAAAGTCATTAAAGGTTTTCTAAGTTTTCCTTAGAATACTGCTGATGTGAGACCTGGCAAAGAGATGCAGAGACAGAGCTTGGAGGAAAAAAGAAGCTGGCATCATCTGAATTTACCAAGATCAGGAAAATATTTCAGCAAAAAGTTCTGGGCAGTTTTATTATAATTACACCACTATTCAGTTATTTAAGTGACGTTCTTGTTGCTGCCTTATGATAATTTTTCATTCATTAATTCAACCAACATTCATGGCCACTTATTCTGGCTCAGGTCTTAAACTAAGTACTAGAATTAACATGATAAAGAAAATGCCATCTCTGTTTTCAAGAAGCTCATATTGTAGTCAGGAGGAATACATAAAAAAGAACTATAAAATACATTATGAAGATGGTTATGTAATGGAAATATTTCTTTGCTGTATAACTGACCCTCTATATAAATATTTCTCAACAAATAGGCACAGATAAAAATGGGCATAAAATTTACAATTGTGTTTTTGACAACTTAAGTTCAGAATTTTTCTAAACCACCTGCTGATTGCCGACTTTTTATTTATTCAGTTGACTTTTCTGTTTATTTCTTATTTCCCTTTGACCAATACTTTTTGTCACTGTAACTCAGCGACTATTATCATCTCAACCTTATTGTTTGGAATTTGGATGGCAACAACATATATATTCTGATTTGAATGTTGGCACTATTTCAGACATATTTTTAAGTATCAACATCTGGCATTATATGTCAACTTTTCCTGGAAGAAAAGCAGAACACCCCACCCTTTTCCAGGACATTCATCCTAGGAACTCCCTACATTTATCTATCTCTGCTAAACCCATCAATATGTTAGAAGATCAGTCCAAAGAGGATGGATTAAAGAAAAGATAAGAAGCAAAAGGCAATTGCTAGAGTCAAGATGCCAAATGACAAGGGTCTGAAATACCATTATATAACGATCTTCATAATGTATTTTATACTTATTTTTTATGTATTCCTCCTGACTAGAATATGAGCTACTTGAAAGCAGAGTATTATGGATGGACAGCACAAAAAGATGGGTTATAAAAATATTCAAAAAAATTCAGTTTGTGGAGCCAGTAGGTCATATTGGTAGATAACAAGTTGGCAGAGCTACTCATGGATTGGAAGGTCAGAAGGATTCTGATTTGAAGACATTTATTTGGACATTTTCTGCATAGGCATAATGGCTAAAATGATTACAGTTGCTGAGATTGACTAGGGAGAATGTGCTAAGAAAAGAATGTGAGAAAAGAAGAATATCAGGGATGCAATCTGGAGACCTTGATCATGAACCACCATTCATTCATTCATTCATGTAACGTTTATTGATGGGCAAGATTGGTTAGCCTCAAGCTTCCAATAACAGGGAGAGAGGGGAGGGCCAGGAGAGAGAGAAATGAGAGAATGCAAGAGATACATTTAATATTTAACATCTTTTAAAAATAGGAACAAAATACAAGGCACCAACACCTGAGTTCACTTATGAACTCATCAATTTATGTAAAGATAAACTTAGATAATACCTTTTATTTTGTCTGGCACTGTGCCAAGCAACTAAGATGCAGCAAGTAAAGGGTAGAATCACAGATTTTATGTGTGGTGGCAGAGAGACAAGTGTATGTGTTGTTTTCTGTGTTATCACATGACTTGCCCAAATGGCCATATCTGGCACTTGCTATTTACATAGAATGACGCTTGTAGAATAATGGATATTACAATGAATAATTATAAAAAATAAAATTGGACCGGGTCTGTGGCTCATGCTCTAATTCCAGCACTTTGGGAGGCCGAGGTGGGTGGATCAATTGAGGTCAGGAGTTTGAGACCAGCCTGACTAACATGGTGAAACTAATCTCTACTAAAAATACAAAAATTAGTCAGGTCTGGTGGCACACACCTGTAATCCAGCTACTTGGGAGGCTGAGGCAGGAGAATCGCTTGAACCTGGGAGGCGGAGTTTGCAGTGAGACAAGATCATGCCACTGCACTCCAGCCTGGGCAACAGAGTGAGACTCCATCTCAAAAAACAAATGACAATGTAATAAGTTTCATGAGAGAAGCACACAAAAATCTTCATTGCATTCTGCAATGGAGGGGCTACATGGGTAAATTCATGTGTTAATAAAAACGTAGGCTGGTGTAGTGGCCCACACCTGTAATCCCAGCACTTTGGGAGGCTGAAGCAGGTGGATTGCTTGAGCCCAGAAGTTTGAGACTAGTCTGGGCAACATGGCAAGACCCTGTATCTGTGAAAAATACAAACATTAGACAGACATCCTGGTGCACACCTGTAGTCCCAGCTTCTCTGGAGGCAGAGATGCGAGGATCACTTGATCCTGGGAGGTTAAGGCTGCAGTGAGCCATGATCGCACTGCTGCACTCCAGCTTGGGCGACAGAGTGAGATCCTGGCTCAAAAATGCAATAAAAATAAATAAATAAATAAAAACTATTTCATTCTGCCAGGTACTCCCCCCCTTCAGAAGTAAAACTCATCCTTGGAAACAAAGTAAACAAGATTCCAATTGTGTTGCCCTTTAGACTTTTACTAGAAAAGACAGCTGATGTCATAAGAGATTATAATGTGCACCCTCACCGAAGTTAACCCTCCATCACTTTCCATAACTAACAGACTCTTTTTTTTTTTTTGAGATGGAGTCTCACTCTGTCGCCCAGTCTGGAGTACAGTGGTGCAATCTCGGCTCACTGCCAGCTCTGCCTCCCGGCTTCATGCCATTCTCCTGCCTCAGCCTTCCGAGTAGCTGGGACTACAGGTGCCCGCCACCACGCCCGGCTAATTTTTTGTATTTTTAGTAGAGACGGGGTTTCACGGTGTTAGCCAGGATGGTTTCGATCTCCTGACCTCGTGATCCGCCCATCTCGGCCTCCCAAAGTGCTGGGATTACAGGTGTGAGCCACCGCACCCAGCCAACTAACAGACTCTTATAAGACATAACATTGCTAGCATTAAACAAAGATTCAGATGGTCAGTTTCCAATTGTCTCTCTTATAACAAAGGTGCCAATTTCATCTTTCAATGCCTCAACTCCTACTTATGAAAATGTTGCCTTGTTTAAAGGAAGAAGAAGAGAAAAATATCAGTTGCCTATTTTGTTCAACTGCATACAGTCAGCAACTGTGGTTTTCTGGGCTTATTCTGAACACATAGGAATTATACTGAAGTAGGACTTGTTGGAATGCACCAAAGACAGATGAACAAATGGTTGCTAAGTTTCAAGAGTCTTCTGAATTCAAGGGCCAGTCCAAGTGGGAGCCGATTATACCCACAAAAGACACAATCCTAAATGCCAAATCCCAAATATTGAAATTCTGAAAGATCAAAATCCCTAGGGTCAAAAAATCACAATCTCAAAAGATCAATTATCTGCCAATATAATTTTGAATAAAACAATTTAAAAGTTATTTAAAAGATGATTATTTATATTTTTAGAAGGGGATTCATTTCAGAATCATAAAAACACACAATAAAACAGGTGATAGTAACATACATATTGCTGCAAGCATAGGCACTCAGGTACAGTAAAGACAGTCGCATGGGTGTAATAGTGTAATAGTTATAAGCAGACAAAACATATTTTTAAAGAAATAGGTCAAAGGGAAATGTATAAACAGATATTATTATAGTTGGTAACTGTGTACACCCAGCATCTGAATTATTGTGAAGAACAACCAAAGTCTTTTGATAGATCAATCAAAAATGGCAATGTTGTCACCTCTTCATATGCAGTTAAAGAGCCAAGATCTCTAGAAATTTTATCTTTCATAAATGCAGATGGACAAAAAGGACATCTCTTCATTTACTGAGGAAGTTTCAATGTTTTTATGTACATGCATGATGCTTACACACAAAGTCAATGTTGTGATAATACACTTTTGCGGAATTAAGTTTGCAAAAAATGCATACTACAAATTAGAACTCTCTAAAAGTCTTTAAACAATTTATACCTACACTATTGGAAATAGAGATGAAATATGTAGCCATAGCAAATTACAAAAAAAAAATACTGCTTACAATTTAAAATAGTGAAAAAATACTAAAACCTAACAAGATAATTTGACATATGGAAAAGTGTATTATGGGGATAGGTGTTAGGAAATTGCACGAATATAGTCTGTAAGAGCTGGCCACTTTCATGATTATTAGCATATTTTGAAGTCTTGCATCACAATGAATAGCTGCTTTTTATTTTTTAGGATGTAGTTATCGTCAAAGAATTATTTCACATTATTTTCCACAATGCCCTCCTCTTTGAAATTCTTCTATGATTCGATATACACTGACATGAGCATTCCACCGAATCCACTCAGACTCACACACTAATCTCCTCTCAAAACACCCTCACAGACATACCCAGAATAACGTTTACCAGGTTTGTAGGTATTCCATAGTCCAGTCAAACTGACACCTAAAATTAAGTTCGCAAGTCCGCCCCTTGTCCACTTGGCACCCATATGCATCTCCTGAAACCATACTTCATTTTTAAATAAAGACGATAACAAGGTAATGGTTCTACCTAACATGTTGCCACTATCCTGGGATTGAAATTTTCACGATGTTAGGTGTTAAGGATTTGAGACTTTAGGGATTTATAATTTAGGGATTGTGATCTTTTAGGATTTCAACATTTGGAATGACGGCATTGGGATTGTGTTTTTCAGGATTATGATTCGAACCTGTCCAAGTGAGCAGTGGTCACATTGCATACATGATTTTGTGTCCAACATTCAAAACTACCATTAGTAGATGGTATTTTTTAATATGTGAAGCCATGATTATTATTATTATTATTATTATTATTGAGATGGAGTTTCGCTCTTGTCTCCCAGGCTAGAGTGCAATAATGTGATCTCGGCTCACTGCAACCTCCGCCTTCCAGGTTCAAGCAATTCTCCTGCCTCAGCCTCCCAGTAGCTGGGATTACAGGTGCCTGCCACCACTCCCTGCTAATTTTTGTATTTTTAGTGGAGAAGGGGTTTTGCCATGTTGGCCAGGCTGGTCTCGAACTCCTGACTTCAGGTGATCCACCCACCTCGGCCTCCCAAAGTGCTGGGATTACAGGCAAGAGCCACTGTGCCTGGCCATGAAGCTATTATTATTATTATTATTTATTTATTTTATTTTTCATTATATTTTAAGTTCTGGGATACATGTGCAGCATCTGCAGGTTTGTTACATAGGTATACATGTGCCATGGTGGTATGCTGCACCCATCAACCTGTCATCTACATTAGGTATTTCTCCTAATGCTATCCCTACCCTAGCCCCCCATCCCATAACAGGCCCCGGTGTGTGATGCTTCCCTCCTTGTGTCCATGTGTCTCTTATTGTTTAGCTCCCATTCATGAGTGACAATATGCAGTATTTGGTTTTCTGTTCTTGTGATAGTTTGCTGAGAATGATGTTTCCCAGCTTCATCCATGTCCCTGCAAAGGACATGAACTCATCCATTTTTATGGCTGCATAGTATCCCATGGTGTATATGTGCCATATTTTCTTTATCCAGTCTATTATTGATGGACATTTGGGTTGGTTCCGAGTCTTTGCTATTGTGAAAAGTGCCACAATAAACATATGTGTGCATGTGTCTTTTTAATAGGATGATTTGTAATCCTTTGGGTATATACCCAGTAATAGGATTGCTCAAAGACTTAAATGTAAGACCTGAAATTATAAAAAAACCCCAGAAGAAAACCTAGGCAATACCATTCAGGACGTAAGCATGGGCAAAGATTTCTTGACAAAAACGCCAAAAGCAATGACAACAAAAGCCAAAATTGACAAATGGGATCTAATTAAACTAAAGAGCTTCTGCACAGCAAAAGAAACTATCATCATAGTGAACAGGCAGCCTACAAAATGGGAGAAAATTCTTGCAATCTGTCCATCTGACAAGTGGCTAATATCCAGAATCTACAAATAAACAAATTTACAAGAAAAAACCAAACAACCCCACCAAAAAGTGGGTGAAGGATATGAACAGACACTTCTCAAAAGAAGACATTTATGCAGCCAAGGAACATATGAAAGAAGCCATTTTTAAGAACTTCATACAGTCTGTCTTATGCATATATTATTTTTATGTAGGAAAATGTCTTGGTTACCAGTTTTTATCCAGGTTTTTTTTTCTTCCTGTCGTTTGTCTTTCTTTTCTTCCTATTTTCCTTCTTTCACCAATTATACATGATTTATTTATTATTACAATATTTGCCTCTCCCTGCCACTTCATAAGCTAGAGTGCCAGAATCAGAATTAATAAAATAGGTAGCATAAAAATGATTCTTATTCATATTGCCATATTATTTTTTCCAAGTGTTGCATCCATTTTCTTCCACAGGGATGTGTTTGACTACTTTTCCTCCTGTTTCAAGCACTGAAGATAATTTGGAGTTGAAAAATGTTTACTTGTTTTCCTGCCTTAGAGTAGTCAATCTGGTTTTCTGTGCCAGCCATTTAAATTTTCACATCTGTGTTTTATATGTCGTTAAGTTTTCTGTTTGCATAAGCAAAAACGTGTGACTCCTATGCCCCTCATTCATGTAACTACATATTTTAAAATTTTCCTTTCAAATCTAATAATTTGAAACTGAGATCAATTTGTTGTTTCTTTCAACATTTAGATGTTCTTTGCTTTTTTTTTTTTTTTTTTTTTTGAGACGGAGTTTCGCTCTGTCGGCCAGGCTGGAGTGAAGTGGCGTGATCTCGGCTCACTGCAAGCTCCGCCTCCTGGGTTCATGCCATTCTCCTGCCTCAGCCTCTGGAGTAGCTGGGACTACAGGCGCCTGCCACCACGCCCGACTAATTTTTTGTATTTTTAGTAGAGATGGGGTTTCACCGTGTTAGCCAGGATGATCTCGATCTCCATCTCCATCTCCTGACCTCGTGATCCGCCCACCTCGGCCTCCCAAAGTGCTGGGATTACAGGCGTGAGCCACCGCGCTGGGCCTGCTTTTTTTAATTGTAACTTTCAATGGCAAAATCCGTGATAGCTTTTGCACCGATCTAATAAATATAATGCAAGGTATTGACCACATGCAGTTTAATTTTCCTCCCTTTAACCCTTCACTATGCTGCAGAAAAAGAGGAGTAAGGTGCTATTTATTTAAATGACAAAGAGAACGATAACAAGAAAAGAGCAGACCAATTTTTTCAGCAAATTTGGCAGCTAGAATACAGGTGGAGGAGGAGGAGTTGCAACTGTTACAGAAGAAAGTTAAATCATAAGTGCGTTCTGAGGGGAAAGACAGAAATTGGACAATTTGCCCTGCAGAACCCCTGGTGGGTGGTGGGGGGTTCAGAATTAGAAGGTGGATTGTTGAAGGTGTGAACACAGGGTCTTTACAAATATTCTTTTGTATCTCTCCTGCTTCTCTTTTATCTCACACACCTTAGAAATTACTCCTTCCTCCTCCAATGACTCTTTCTTTTATTATTTAGAGAAATCGGTTTATTTAGGTTTATTATTTAGAGAAATTTAATCAAAATACCTGGGTTCAGCCATACTAGTCAGAATGTGGAGGTAAGGTGAACAGGGGATGGGACAGTTAAAAGTGAAAAAGTAATGATTTACATAGTGTACTGAAGACTATTTCTTCTTTAGCCATTGTTTTCACAACATTTTGGAATTGTGGCTTATTCATACTCAAGCAAGAGATGAGAGGATTCTCTTTTGGAGATACTGAATGACCCAAACACCTCCACATACATATCCCAAATAAAATGTTGGGCTACAATATATAGACTGTAACCCAAGGATAACTAGTCATTAATACTTTCTCTATGCATGTTTTGTTGCTTTATTGAATGGATACCCAAGGACTACTAAATACTTGAGGAAATACTCCAACATGAGAGCGACCAATCAAGCCAATAGGAAATCATAAAATTCAAAGAGCAAATAAAATTATTTTTTAGTTAAGAACATTTCATATAAGTGTGTGTGTGTGCATGTATTCCTTAATCATTAGAATGCTGAAGAGATAACATCAAGAGAAGGTATTAAGAGTAAGCCAAAAGCAAAAATTAAAATATGAAAAGTAGAAGATGCAAACTTTTTTAAAAGTGTAATTGGAAGTCTCAAAATTTAATTCAAGTTTTAGATAGAGATAACAGTAAAAACACAGAAGAAGATACTTGAAAGTGTTCAAAAAGCCTAAAGGAAACAGAGTAATGCACACTCACACACACAGACAAACACACACACACACACAAACACACCATGGTATACAATCATGAAGTTTTAGAACATCAGAGATAATGATCTTCACTGTCTTCTAAATAGACTAACAGGTCATGTGCAAAATAATGTAAATGCATATAGAATAAGACTTGTCAACAGTAATATTGGATATTAAAATATATCACAATAATGCTATCAAAATTCTCATTAAAAAATACTTGAATCCTAGGCTTCTATATCAAAACCAATTATCAATCAAGTGTAAGAGCAGAGCATAAAAGGGCTAAAAATTGTATAAACATCTCTTGGTGGAAAATGTACATTAATTAAATTATGGAATAAATTAAAATGAATACATATAGAAAAGAGGACTCTATATCAAGAGGATGGCAAATGGATTTCCCAGGATATTCTGCAACCTCAAATTTTGATTATGGATTTTGGAGAAAACAACCAATATAAATTTCAGCATTAACACAAAAGGAAGAATGAAGAATTAATTATGCTGTGGGTTAGGACATGGGGAAAATGTTGCTTAGTTCAAGCAAACAAGGCCAAATGATTAAGATGCACACATGCACAGGCTTGTTAGAGCAGCATTTATTGAGATAATCTCATAGGAACAATGATGATTGCGGGCGTGTGGGCTCCTGTTGCTCACTGCTTTCACAGTCAGCACACAAAGACCTAGTAGGACTGGATACCAGACTCTGGGAAAAAGACTCAGACTTTTGTTCTGTGAGAATTTCAATATGTATGAGAGTCAAATCACTAGCCTTTCACCCGGCATCATCAGGAGTTCAATGAAATAGAAATACAATTTCGTGGTATCTCTTCTTGCTATGATAGAGCTCTTTCTGGTGTCTTGCCCTGTATAAGTTCACATATGGCTTCACATATTATTTTACATGAAACTTGAATACAAGTCATGACTTATAATAAAGAGTGTTTGTGTCTCTTAAGTCAAAATCTCACCAGAGGGAATCATATACGGTACCCATTAAGTCACTGAATTTTCTGTTACACAGACTTGCCTACATAGGGTTTATAATCTGAATAATAAAAAATTAAACAGGCAATTCCTGGCCATTGTGATGTAGATTTTGATGGGTGAATCTACAGTTAAGATTTCTGAAATTGCAAAAGTCTGAAAATTAATTAATCCAGGACCATAGTGAACAGAATGATATTATTAGTCTGTTCTTGAGTATGGTGATTAAAAATTATTGTATTAATTTATAATCTTGCATTTTTCCCCAAAATATAAATATATCCCATAAGTGGTACTTGCAAATGTAACTGTCATTTGTCCTGTGACCAGAATGGTTGAGAATCCTTAAATGCAATGATCTCTATCTTTCTTTGAGAGCTTGGAGTGCTATAAATCATAAATTTATGAGACAAATTCAGTAAAAGGGATTTCTTAGCTGATTTTTCTTCTTTAGTTCAGCACTTACATTGTACCAGGCATGGTGCTTGAACCTGGAGACACACAGGAAGAGGCTATGCTCTTTCTTAAGAAGTTTACAACCTGGTGGTGGAGGCAGACAAAATAGACAATCCCAATGCATAATTTAAAATGTTTTCATAGTGGAATTACTGAGATACCTGAATTACAGAGAGGAATTTCCTTAAAAAAGTGATGCTGGGTGGTATTCAGAACTATGAGTTGAGCTATAGATGATGAATATTGTAGGGAGAAGGGGCAATATAGATAGAAGAATAAAGGCATGGACAACATTATCAGAACTGGTCAAAGCATATTAAAGTCAGCTGTGTAATTGCAAGAATAATTTCAGGGTAAGAGAATATAAACTGCCCCTTTATGGAGAAACTGACATCGAAGTCTGTTATAGCTGCCCTCAATTTTATGGCTACAGATTTGCTGTCAGAATTCAGCTGCCTTTAATGAATCAGGAACCCTTTGTGTGTTATTTCACCCCAGAATTGTTCTAAGGGTCAACCTTACTGACATTATTTACCACATATCCTGGCCAGCTTTGCATCTTTGAATTGCAGGTTAAGATAACCTGAAGCTAGCAAAAGAGCTTCCTTTTAAGGCTACTGTGATGAAGATCCAGACTTTCACAGTTCCATTCTTCACCAACTCCCCTCCTTGAAACACATCTGAAGGAAGATCTGAGAACTAGTAGGAAGCCCTAGTGCCAGAGAGGGCCACAGAGTAAGAGCAGATCACAGCCTATGTGGGAAAGGGCCTCATCAAAGTATTGTTTTATTTATTTATGTATCTGTGTATTTATTTATTTAAGACAGGGATTCATTCTGTCATAGCCCAGGCTGGAGTGCAGTGGCGTGATCTCGACTCACTGCAACCTCTGCCTGCCAGGTTTAAGTGATTCTCCTGCCTCAGTCTCCCCAGTAGCTGGGATTACAGGTACCCACCACTATAACCATCTAATTTTTGTATTATTAGTAGGGACAGGGTTTTGCCATGTTGGCCAGGCTGGTGTCGATCTCCTGACCTCAGGTGATCCGCCTGCCTTAGCCTCCCAGAGTGCTGGGATTACAGGCACCTGGCCAAATGTATTGTTTTAAATGCGGATTTAGTTTTGAGTGACTCCTTCCATCTCCCTTGCTCAGCTTGGACTAATGTTAGGATGCTCTTGAAACAGAAGCATGGAAGGGGGCATCAAAGGGTCTCTTCTGCAGCCTTTGAGACTGTTTCCCACACTACCACATAACCTCAAATAGAAAGTTCTGGAAACACAAACCTTTAAAAAAATCAATCTCCCATATCTCTTCGTCTCCTTGCGCAGTGCCGAGTAAATACTAAAATGTTCACTGAATTGATGGTATTGGCAGCTCATTCACTTTATTCTAATTAAATTTCTCTCTCTAGGTGTAAAATGGCTTTTCATTAAGCACATTTCAGATAAAATTTTTTTAGACAGAGACAATGTAGCCACAAAATGAACTCAAATCCTGTTTGGTTTGATGAGTGCATTTTATTATCTACTGTTTGCTAGCAATTAGATACCAAAAATCTGAAGCTTTGTAAACACAAAGGGGATTATAGTAGGGCGAGCTCATCAACTACATGTGATGCTTTTCAAGGTGCTGCAGATGATCTGTTTGTTTTGCTTTGTTGTAACAGATTCTCTAGAGCATATCTGTTCTCTCAAAGGAACTTGGTACAAATGGCATTTGAGTATTTAAGAAAAGAGCCTCAGGACATATAAACAGACTCTCATTTATCCAGAGAAGGTAACCCACTTTGATAATCTTCCCAAAAGATCTTCATGTCAGTTTAGCTGGCGAATCTTGGAA